>NC_000012.12:33650541-33803236 GCF_000001405.40 Homo sapiens
ATGTGATCATCGTGTCAGTAACATTAGAAGAGTATTAGAACACACTGAAAATATTCTTTTTCTTCTACCAAATTTAAAGTCATCTAAACTATTTGTGTTCATCTTGCAGAAATAATTACAGTGCTTACATTTCATTATGTTCATATATAACTAAGGATCATTTTCCATTCTGTGAGTGATTCACTGGGAAAGAAATCAACTTTCTTATGCCCTTGAAAGGAAAAGATACTTACATTAATCTATTTTAGATTTTTTTAAGAGCATGGAGTCCTTATCTCCATAGCAAAGTTTTTAGGTTTAGCATTTCCCAAAAGTGGAAAGTAAAAAAATAAAAATAAAAAGAATTAGCCAGACAAGGCTGCAACTGTTCTTTATCATTCAGTTTGTACATCATTTAAGCTTGTGGCTAAGGAGTTAACCATTTTTATGAATCTTGGTGGAGGACACAAAGGATCTCACTTTGAAACTGGAAATGTCAAATTCTTTCCTAGGCTCCCTTGCAGCTAAGGCACAGGATTGTAACACAAATTCTGCCAATTCACTGCAACTTCATCAAAGTTCAGGAGTTGGTGGCACAAAAGGGCAGAAAATTTTTAGATCTGAGTTTCTGGCACAAAAATAAGAGCAATGAAAACTCACTGTCTATGCTCAGTAGCATTGGCAGAGGTTTTCTTCTGACATGGTGCTAGAAGACAGTTTGGGTCATTTGTTATATGTGGAACATTAGTCTCAAATCTGTTTGCCAGCTTTCCCCAATTTTTTTTTCCTTTCGATCAGCCTGAGAAAGCTTCTGTTAGCAATAACTAAAAATACTGACAGGACACTGTGGCTGTATCTGAATGAAACATCTCAAATAGCATATACCCTCACTTTATTCTGGCATATTTGTTTGGGTCAACCATAGTTTCCTGGCTTTTTGGACAATTCTTTGTTGCAGAGAGCACTATCTCACTCTTTCTGCTTAAAAGAGTATATTTTCTTGGGAAGAAATGATTATGGGTCAGTACTTGGCTTTGATTTTTAGCTGTTGAGCCTGATGTGACTAATAGTGTTTTTACATTTGCTGAAATTCTACAGCTTGTGTAACAGGTCTTTTTGTTGGGGGTAGGAGGGAAAAGGGTCTTATGAAAGTCCTTAAAAGTGGAAAGAAACATTCCTCTCTTAAATAAACTGATATTAAGGAAAATTTGAATGTTCTTTTTCCCAATTAATATCAGTATCCATTGCTTCATTTTTAAAATTATAGTGTTACAGTTGAGAGTTTTCAATGCTCTTTCAAAAATAGGTAGATTTGAAAGCCTCTCCTATTTTACATCATCATGGATCTTACTGTTTTACTTGAAAGAGCATATTTTATAATCAAAAAGCTACAGATCATGAGCCTCCCAACGGGTTCACCTTGCCTGCTGCCTAGACAGAGCCAATTTATCAAGATAAGGGAATTGCAATAGAGAAAGAGCAATTCACGCAGAGCTGGCTGTGTAAGAGACCATGGTTTTATTATTACTCAAATCAGTCCCCCCAAAAACTTGGGAACTGGAGTTTTTAAGGATAATTTGGCAAGTAGGGAATTGGGAAGTTTAGAGTGCTGATTGGTTGGATTGGAGATAAAATAATAGAGTGTCTCAGTGAGTTTTCTTGCTGTCTTCTGTTCCTTGGATGGAATCATAGAATTGGTTGAGCCAGATTACCAGTTTGGGTGGTGTTAGCCGGTGTGTCAGAACACAGGGTCTGCAAAGTATCTCAAGCACTGATCGCTGATTTCAGAACAGCAATGTTATTCCCAGAAGCAATTTGGGAAGGTTGAGACTCTTGAAGCCAGAAGCTGCATGGCCCCTAAATCTTAATTTCTAAACTTGTAGCTAATTTGTTAATACTACAAAGGCAATCTGGTTCACAGGAAAGAAGGGGTTTTGTTCAGGAATGTGCTATTATCATTTTTGTTTCAAAGCTAAACTATAAACTAAGTTCCTCCCAAAGTTAGTTTGGCCTATACTCAGGAATGAACAAGGACAGCTTGGAGGTTAGAAGTAAAAAGGAGTTGGTTAGGCCACATGGCCACTTCTCTTTCATTTTTTCAGTTATAATTTTGCAATGGCAATTTCCTTTTTATTATTGTTATTATACTTTAAGTTCTAGGGTACATGTGCACAACATGCAGGTTTGTTACATATGTATACATGTGCCATGTTGGTGTGCTGCACCCATTAACTCATCATTTACATTAGGTATATCCCCTAATGCTATCCCTCCCCCCTTCCCCCACCCCATGACAGGCCTCGGTGTGTGGGTGTGTGATGTTCCCCTTCCTGTGTCCAAGTATTCTCATTGTTCAATTCCCACCTATGAGTGAGAACATGTGGTGTTTGGTTTTTTATCCTTGCAATAGTTTGCTGAGAATGATGGTTTCCAGCTTCATCCCTGTCCCTACAAAGGACATGAACTCATCCTTTTTTATGGCTGCATAGTATTCCATGGTGTATATGTTGCAATGGCAGTTTCAATCAGATACATGGCTTTGAAAATTAGAAAGAAAATCAAGATATAGCATATAGATATGTGGTCATTGTATCATTAACATTAATATTGTACCTTCCCAAAATAGTTCCTCATCCAAAGGTCACACCAAACACAGTAGATACTACTATAAACAACAATATTTAGAAAGCATAGGAGAGTTAAAGACTGCTGTTAAATACTACAAACACTTATGTTAGAGCTTCTCACTGAATTGTAAGCTCCACAAAAGCAAGAATTTTGATGTTTTGTTCCCAGCTATATATAAAATAAAATATTAATGACTAGCACTCAAAAATATTTGTTGAATGAATATGTTCTTTGCTAAAAATATTGATCAGTAAGCCTCATCTCAAAATTTCTAAATGGGAATCTTTCTGTATAGGGCTGGAAAATCTGCTGCTTTAACAACCATTGCAGGTGACTGTGTCAAAAGTTGAAAATGACTTTCCTGCTGAGCTTCATTCAGTATCTGTATTAAAAAGATAAACTGGGCCAGGCATGGTGACTCATGCCTGTAATCCCATCACTTTTGTGGGTAGATCATTTGAGGCAAAAAATTCAAGACCAGCCTGGACAACATGGCAAAACCTCATCTCTACTAAAAATACAAAAATTGGCCAGGTGTGGTGGCGTGCACCTGTAATTCGAGCTTCTCAAGAGGCTGAGGCATGAGAATCGCTTGAACCTGGGAGGTGGAGGTTGCAGTGGGCTGAGATCACACTGCTGCACTCCAGCCTGGGTGACAGAGTGAGACTCTGTTTCAAAAAAAAAAAAAAAAGGGGGTGTGGTGAATCTATGGTTTTCTGAAGGAAAAAAGGTAAACTGAGGCACAATAACATTTCTTTTTTAAAGACTGAGTAAGAAGTTTGAGTAATTGATAAATTGGGAGACACCAAACCATGAGAGGTTTAATGTTCCCATGACATATCATCAGGGCAAGTATTTACTGGGTTTATGTGGAAGCAAATAAAAAAATTATTTGATTGCAATTATACAGTTGCTTTCTTTGGTCTATCCGGTTGGAAAATTTCTAGTTATATAGTTATAAGTTTCTTGGCTACTTCTGATTGATTGAGCTTAAGTTCTGTTTTTCCTTAATAGCAGGCACTTACAAGAAATAGCTCAAGTTAAGTTTTACCCATGTTTGCAAATCAAGCAAGATTTAGGTCACTTATGAGACGTAACTGGTTTTGTTTGCCCAGATTCTTTAGGTCTGATATTCATTTTAGTTTAACAGTTTCCCTCTTTTGGTCAACCTTTTGGCAATCTGAGAGTGTGACCAAATGCTATAGCATTACTTATGGTTGTCACTATTGATGTAGTCACTGGAACAAAGAGTCATGTAGATACAATCATCATCAATAATTGCATTGGGATGAGAGGTCACATAGTCATTGTTATCAAAAACTGCAAAGTCACTGTAGGCGTTGGTGGTTGGGTTGTTGAGTTCTGCATGTTGTCTAATCCTGATGGCAATCATTTGATGTGTGAGTAGCTGCTGGAAAGCATTCAAAACCTTTGAGAGGATACAACACACTAGGGAGGTGAATATAATGAAAAGAGTGATAAAAATAGCCAAGGATTAAAAAAATTCCTGAGGCAGATATTCCCAGGAACCAAGAATTAACCAACTAAATAAATCAATGGAGGAGGCAGCACCTATCTAGCAAGAGACTTATATTTGTTTCTTAAGAGTCTTTAAATTTTGAGCAACCGTTTCTAATTTATTAACACAGAAGCAACTTTTTTTTTTTTTTATCAATAACAGCATACACTCCTCCTTATTGGGCTGTTAAGGTAGCAAGAACTTCTATTTTGAAGTACTATTGCAGTTAAATTGTTCATTTCAGATTGTATTGCTTGAAAGGAATTCAAAGTATTGTTCTATGAAAACAAAATAAAAACAAAGGTTTATATTTGGAGCAAATTATGTTCTTGGTTTTTGAGGCCGTAGGGTAGTGAGTCAAGACATCTAGATTCGAGTTTGAACCATCCTTAGATGGTGGAATGAGGATGGCAGTTGGATGTCTTTGGTTATGTCATCGGGGGGTGTTCCGGTAAACTCTCTTAAGCATCCTGTGTAGCAGCAGGTCTGAAGGTCATCCATGCATGATCTATTGAAGTGATTTTCTGAAGCTGAAAGTCATCAAGTTTCAGCATTCAGGAAACTTGAATGCCCTTGGGAGAAGGGCAGTTTTAGATTTTAGTGAAACTAGAAAATTTTGAGATTCAATCCCATTAACAGATGCATAACAAAACCTTAAAGAAAAATAAACAGAAGTAGAATCTGCTAATGGGTGTACTATGGCTTTCTCCTTTTATATAGTCACTTCCATTATGCCAGAATAATCACAGTATGATTAATTTCTCTTTTACAAAATAAGTAAACTTCACCTGATTATTTACATAAGTGAAAGAAGAATAGTAAGGCTATATATATTTTAAAATATTATTTTAGGCCAGGCACGGTGGCTCACGCCTGTAATCCCAGCACTTTAGGAGGCCAAGACGGGCGGATCACGAGGTCAGGAGATCGAGACCATCCTGGCTAACACAGTGAAACCCCGTCTCTACTAAAAATACAAAAAATTAGCCAGGTGTGGTGACGGGCGCCTGTAGTCCCAGCTACTCAGGAGGCTGAGGCAGGAGAATGGCGTGAACCCGTAAGGCGGAGCTTGCAGTGAGCAGAGATCGCGCCACTGCACTCCAGCCTGGGTGGCAGAGCGAGACTCCGTCTCAAAAAACAAAAAAAATACGAAATGAAAACATTATTTTAGCCAAATCTTTGGTAACACCAAAGGAACATTATTGACTTTGTATCAGTCAACTTAGTTTTTAAAAACTATCTGGTAATAAGAAATCTTAAGATAGACCTTAAAAACCTCTCTAGGCTAAGAACCCAAGCCAAGGACCTGCCTAATTATGTCTTGTTACAAGAAGAATAGATTTTTATTGAACCTATGCCAACCTCCATATTGTAATAAAGATAAAAATATTTAATAAGAGTTTCCAAATTCTGGAGCAATCAGGCAGGAATAAAATTGTAAATGTTCCATTTTTGTTTTCAAAAGCACATTTTATCAAATTGCTGTAACTTATAGAAAGCTTAAGAGAAAAGAAAAAATAGTTCCTTAAATATGAAAAATAAGACATTAAGGAACCAGCAATGTTTTAAACAAAAAGTTATACAAATTATAATTATTTTCACCAGTTAACTCAGTCCCATAACATTTATTTTTGTTTTGTTTGATCTTAAGTTTTATGAGTCCATCAGTTTTTTTAATTACAGTTCTCAAAATTCTTACCTAGTCCAATAGCATAATCTTAAAGTTATCTGAAGCATGTACTTATCAGAATATTTTTAATTAAACTTTTGCGATTTTGTATCATACAACTGACAAAGAAATGTAGTTGTTTTGGTGACATACATTTTAACATAATAATTAGAATTATTACTGGTATCAATATACCAGGATATATCAGGTTTTTAGAAATTTCATATAATTTCTGGGTACTCATATCAGTAACAAACATAACTTGAAGAAGTTTTAACATCACTTATTATCTGACAATGCTTCACATGCAATTCAATGTATCAAAAAAGCCTAATTAACATCTCTTTGTTCATGGAGAAATAAATAAGTCTTTTGAGATATTTCAGGGATGCTTCTGGAGACTCCTAAGTTAATTTAAGTTCAAAATGACTTAATTTAGAATTTGATTTTTGGAAGCTGTCAAAAAATATCAAAAAGAATCATGAAGAGATTTACTATTTGATGTATCTTTGGGGAAAAAGATATCAAAAGGTTTAAGACGCTTGATTAAACGATCACAGGCCACTGTGAAACAATACTAAAGTGATAAAAAGTTTTGAAAGCAAATACAGGAAGTTAAACACTTGTTTAAAAAACTTACCTCCTTTCAATATCTAATGAAAGACAATATGAAGCATTAAAAATTATCATGATAAAACATGAAATCTTTGTTTTCTAGTGCAATTGCTTAAAGATAAAATAAAGTTCATAATCAGGAGCAGATCAGTGCTTCAAAAAAAAAACCTTTATCCTTTCAACAGAGGGAAACCAAATTCAAATTTATATTCCTACATTATCAAGCTTTTTATTTTAAAATCAACCTTATAAATAAAATCCATCTAATCTCTGTAGTTCGACCACATGTAAGATTCCTTTATTCCAGACCTTCTGCAGCTTTCTATATCTATTCAGTTTTTGTCTTTCCTCTTTTTTATCCTAGAACAATCAGTTATCTTGCCTTAAGGCAAACTTACTTTCTATTTTTTCCTTAATGAAAACACACATCTTTTATACATTTCCTTATTAACAGCACATCCTACTTTTTTGTACATTTTTTCATATATAGCTTTTTTCTTCTCATCGTTACAATTTCTACTAGTTTTAATTATACATACTAATTAAAATTCTTAACCCTTAGTGCACTCCTTTTTTCCCTTTTTCCTTTCTGCCTTTGTTAAATGCCCAGGCACACCACAGTACCAGGCGTTACCGGTACCAGTTCACATTCCTTTCCTTATTTAAAAAAAAACTAACTTTCCAGCTCCAGCTCATTAAAACACCCCTTCCCCTTTCCTCTCTCTTTCTTTTATGTGCCCACCTTATCTAAAAAAACCCAAATGTTTAGCCAACCAAAATTAGTTTAAATTATACGACCTGACCACGGCCAATAAAAAAAAAAAATACAAGAGCCAGACTTGCATCAAAAATAAAGGCTCTTGTGCCCCTTTGTTCAAGTGTGCTCTTATGGCAACTGGCCAAAAAAAAAAAAACACCCCTCGGTGCAAAAATAAAATTACTTTGCTAAAAATCCTCTAAGTGTTCAATTTCCTTAAAAATTTAAGCATTATTCCCAACACTTAGTAATCTTAATTTTTATCAAAATGAGGCAGTACATTATTTCATAGTTTTAAAATAGCATATGTTTTCTCATAGCACAGAACATGCTTACCAGCAGACCCAAATATCTCAAGTTCCTATTTAATAAGAAGCCAAGAATACACAATCTTAAATTAATGTTCAGGAATTATTTTAGTAGTTTATCTTATTTGGACATGATTTAGATATTTAATGAATAGCTATCATTTAAATTAGCTTAGTATAATTTTAAGGTTTCAAGTTTTCAAAAAGATTTTGGAAACTGTCTTCAGGCAGACATAACATTAAACAAAATTTCTTGTAACCTCTGATTGTTTTCCTTATTGATAAATTTTGTAACAGAGATAATATGAG
Source organism: Homo sapiens (assembly GCF_000001405.40). Classification (NCBI taxonomy): domain Eukaryota; kingdom Metazoa; phylum Chordata; class Mammalia; order Primates; family Hominidae; genus Homo; species Homo sapiens. The sequence continues at coordinate 33,658,326 of NC_000012.12, forward strand.
CTTATTTCACTAGGAAAGCTAGGTAAAATATCCATTTTTTTAACTAAATCATCAATATTCTTATTTATTAAACATTACTCAAGTCATGTGAACTTAAAAATTATTCGGATTAGTTTCTTTTCTAAGAAAATAATTTATATAGCTGCTTATTTTTTAAGTCAATTACATACAGATCTTTTAATATTTAATATTATTTCTAAAAAATCATATATAGGTAGTATAATAAATAGTTGATTAATATATAAATTATTAAATATATAATATATATTTAATAATTTATATATAATAATATTTATATATAATATTTATTACATATAAATATTACATATATATTTAATATTTATTACATATAAATATTACATATATATTTAATATTTATATATAATATATATTACATATAAATAACATACACAGATAATCATACACAAACATACAGATGGAACCAGAAATTCATGGCTTCTGTTCTAAAGTGTTAGCCATGTGTCAGTGACAATAATATAAAACTCACTAATTGGATCCAAATCAAGTCTCTGGCAATTAAAGTTACTTGTTCAAATGGCTAAAGCTTTTCATTAATATTTGTGGGATGGACTTTCAAGGTTTTTCACTTGCCAGTTAATTTCTAAAAAATTTTATCTTTTTTTTCTTCTTTTGAGTCTTTTCTCTAAATTTAGCCTGCATTTTAAAGATCTAAACATCTCAAAGGCACAAAGAAAGGATATTAAGTTTTCTCCAAGATGGAGTTTTGGGGCAAAGCTGCCTATTATCAGGTGTCAATATTATTGAGACTGGAGTACAGTTAGGTGAGTGACTTAGAATGGAGGAACTAGAATGGAGGAGAGATCCATTCTATTTTCAATTAGTCTTTATCCTTTTTAGCCTTAGGCAGTTGCTTTTATAATAGTTTGGAATTGTGTGCAAGACCAAAAGTTAAACTGAGTTTTTGCAGATGCTTTTGGTTCATCTGATAATCTAATTTTTTAAAAAAGTTGGTGTTAGGGAGGTTTAAATAGAAAAGGCAAGAAATCAAACAAGTTAAAAGATTCAGAATAATTTTTTATGAGTGTGCTGTAGTCTGTCCTTTAGGAGCCTCTGTATACCCATTGAAAAATGTGTCTCATTGTTTTGGAGGCTTTGGGGATCCCTTTTCATTTCTTAATGTGCTCATAGATGAATAGTTGTATCTAGAATAAAACTTCCCCCATTGTGGCCACTGTAACTCTAAGTCATCTTCCTGAGATACAACAGTTCTATAAAAAGTAATAGGTTCTGGGTCCACAATTTCTGAACATATAATTAGCTGAAGTTCCAGACAGACGAGTCCGAGACTCACTAGATTCTGACAAACCTATAATACACTGTCCTTCTAAAATTTTACTTACTAAGGCCTCCAAGTGGACTCTTTCTGGTTTCTGTCAAACACCCTGTTTGACCTGTTGGACATCTAACACAAATTTCTCAGATTCCAATTTGGATTACAGACTAGTCTAGAAACTAGTGCACTAGCCTGGACCTAGTCCAGTTCCTTCTGAACACTCATTTTGTCCCCAGAATCCAAACTGAAATAAAATTATTCAAACAAACTCAGAGATCTCAGGACACAAATTGCAGAGCTTCAAATCTAAGAGGGACTTACTCATGACCCCCAGAGGCGGTAAGAAAACACTGAGCACCGGCTGGGCGCGGTGGCTCACGCCTGTAATCCCAGCACTTTGGGAGGCCGAGATGGGCGGATCACGAGGTCAGGAGATCAAGACCATCCTGGCTAACACGGTGAACCCCCGTCTCTACTAAAAACACAAAAAATTAGCCGGGCATGGTGGCGGTCGCCTGTAGTCCCAGCTACTCGGGAGGCTGAGGCAGGAGAATGGCGTGAACCCAGGAGGCGGAGCTTGCAGTCAGCCGAGATCGCGCCACTGCACTCCAGCCTGTGCGACAAAGTGAGACTCCGTCTCAAAAAAAAAAAAAAAAAAAAAAAAAAAAAAAGAAAGAAAGAAAGAAAACACTGAGCACCATGGGCTCAGTGCTACTCCTGGTTACTTATTGCTCCTGGGAGTTGATGACGGTCTCCTTCAGATCCCACTTTTCTGACACCAAACTCTTAAAAAGGTAAACTGAGGCACAATACTTTTTTAAGAGTTAATTTGAGTAAGAAGTAATTTATGAATTGGGTAACACCAAACCAAGAGAGGCTTAATGGGCTGATGACAGATTGTCAGAGGAAAGTATGGAGTAAATGCAGAAAGAAAATAAAGTATTTGATTAGTTGCAATTATACAGTTGTCTCCTTTAGTATCTCCAGTTAGAAAGCTCCTAGTTATCGGCTGGGCGAGGTGGCTCACGCCTGTAATCCCAGCACTTTGGGAGGCTGAGGCGGGCAGATCACCTGAGGTCGGCAGTTTGAGACCAGCCTGACCAACATGGAGAAACCCTGTCTCTACTAAAAATACAAAATTAGCTGGGCGTGGTGGCGCATGCCAGTAATCCCAGCTACTCTGGAGGCTGAGGCAGGAGAATCGCTTGAACCGAGAGGCAGAGGTTGCAGTGAGACGAGATCGTGCCATTGCACTCCAGCCTGGGCAACGAGTAAAATTCTGTCTCAAAAAAATAAAAATAAATAAATAAAAAATGCTCCTAGTTCTCTAACTATGAGCTTGTTGACTAGTTCTTAAAAGTTCTGCTTTTCCTTAATATAGGCATTTACAAGAAAAAGCTCAAGTTAAGTTTCACTTATGTTTGCAAATCAAGCAAGGTTTAGCTCCCCTGTGAGGCCTAATTGTTTGCTCAGAGATTCTTCAAGCCTGATCTTCATTTTAATTTACTGTAAAACCTATCATCTAAGAAAAACAATTAACAGGAAAGAAATTAGGTTTTTTTTGCATTTATAAGATCATCTATAGCTACATCACCATTTTACAATATTCTATTGCTAAAGAAATATATTGACCCAAATTAAGTTAATTGGGTGAAAGTTCCGAGCTAGTGAAAGTTCCAATTATCAATCCCAGATCCTTGAAGACAGCAAGTCAAGATAGCAGAGGAGCAACTTGGTTTCTTTCCCAATGTTTAATTTTTTTCTCCATTTATTATCATCAATACAGATTAGTTTAATGCTCACTGTGTACCTGGCACAAACTGTGTGTAAATGAAAACAGATTCTAGTATTAGCAGCAGGAGTTACAGGAAGAAATGAGATGATAAACAATGCTGCAATGTGTAACCAAACAAATTTAAACTGAAAATGTGACCTGCCTTGGATATCTCTCATGAAGTTGACAGCAAGGTGGAAGATTTCCGTTAAAAAAGAATCCAACAAGTAAAAAGAAAAGAAGAAAGTGAAATTGAGTTTTGAATGTATTTTGAAGATGGAGGAGAGAGAATACCTAAAGAATGGGAGACGGCAGGAAAACCATTATTTTGTAAGGTAAACAAGAAGAAAGGAAAAGTTGGATTGCCAGTTTTGAAGGGCATTTAAAGTGGACATAATAATGTTATTTTTGGCCAAACTGTCTTGTAATTAAATGTATATTTCAACCTGAAGTGTATGTGAGTTTCCTCAGCTGCACATCCTTACCAAGATTTGATATGATCATCCTTTTTAAATTCTGCCAGTTTCTGCCTGGAGACCCTTCAAGATATTCTACATATATAATTATTTCATCTTCAGATAATGGTGGTTTTATTTATTCCTTTCCTATCCTTATACTACTTATAATTTTTCTTACTTCATTGTTGTCAGCTATTGAATAGTGCTGGTGATAGTGGGTTTTGTTTTCTTACTTTTAAAAAATGAATACTTCCACATTTTATTGCATAATTTTCCTATACCTATTGAAGTTAGAAAATATTTTGTTATTAATGTGGAGAATTATATTATTTGATTTTCTGAGTTATACCAACATTGTTTTTCTGGGGTAAAATTTAACTTGAATATATTTACACACACGGAAACACATATTAATGGATTTGTTATACTAAAATTCTGTTTAAGGCTTTTGTACCTATGGTAATAAGATGAATCTATAAATTTACATTCTCATATTGTCCTTGTTATATTTTTATATTTTGTTTTAGCTACATGATAAAATTGAGTTAGGGGCTGTTTCTTGTTTTTTCATTATCTGAAATGATGTAAGGTTGGCATTATTTCCTCACTGAATGTTATAGGACTTGCTGGAAACTCTCTGGGATAGAAGTTTTTTGGGTTTTTTGTAAGATGATAATTTGACATATAAAATGATAAACTATAATGGTAGATTTCCTTATGCAAACAATCCTTACATTGTTGGATTTAACACCACTGACCAATCAGCATTTGATCAGGGAAGTGGAACAATTATGACTGATAAGTACTAAGGGATGTATTACAAGGAGTACATAAGGGAGAAGCTGAGCAAGTAAGGTCTGGAAGGAGACATTTTAGATAAGTCATTAACCAGTGAATCCAGAGGGAAGCAGGTAAAGGAGTCTAGGGAAGGCTACTGTCCTGTGTCTGGGGATGGGCCACAATCCACTGTAGGTTGGCAGGGCTGACTGTGGAAGAAAATCAGGCAAGAGTTAGGAAAATTGAAACCTAGGATTATGATCAGCAACCCATGAATATAAATCTACATCTGTCATTCGCCATCTTTAAAATGGATTATGGGGAGATTTGCGGAAAAATCTGCATTTGGTCCAGGACTCAGAGTCTGAAGGAGGAGATCAGTTGGAGCTGGAGGATCTGCAGAAAATGAGCCAGTGGGTGAAACAGCAGCACCTGAATCCCGACAATGATTTTCAGAGAGTAATGACTGCTGCTTCTCTTCTGCCTCCCAAATCTCATGCAGATTTCTCTTGTGGTCAATCTTGGACCAGAACCATAAGGGGGCGGGGCGGGGGTGGAATCCTGGGAAATGTAGTTCCAGTTTAAGTAAATTAGCAATAAAAAACCAAAACACTTCAGTTAGCTTAAAAATACATATACAAATATTTCCTTTAAAATTTTTAATTTATATTTAGCAGTAATATTTGTGCATAATTTTAGAATTTTTTTCAGGTTTTATTATCAACATACACAATTGTTGTAATAGAATAGTGAGGTTGTATTTCATCTTTAGTCTCCAAATTAATGTATCAAAAATATGCTGACTTATGTACATTCCATGTAGATATGGAATCGTTGCTAAAACAAAAGAAGAAAATTGACAGAGAATGGTGTTTTCTTTTTTGAGGAGTATTTACTTGACAACATCCTTAATTTAAAAAATTGTTCTCTTTGGCTTTTTGATGAACCATCTTCTCTTAATCAATTTTGTTAATTTATATATTCCTTACAAATCAGTCATTTAATCTGTTTTGAATTGGTTAGCATAAAAAGAACTGATTTATATTAATCTTTTGTCCTTATCTCTGTCTTTGATAATACATTATTTTTTCAACAAATATACAATAATTATATTATCATCTTTTTCTCTTTTCTCTAGATTAAGCTAGCAAGTCAACTATCTCTTTTATTGATATACTCAAAGAACTAATTCTTAGATTTTTTTCGAAATTTATTTTTCATATTTTTCTAGTTTATGAACTTTTCAGTTTAACATATTTCTTCTACTTCCTGTATGTTTTTGTTATTTGGGTGGCTTGGAAGAAAAGAAAGGTATGTTTTTTTACGATTGTGTATGCTTTTTACTTCATATTTACAATTGTATATTTTTTTACTTTAGCTTATTTGTTTTTATATAGCAATTAAGTGATAAAATTTTTATCTTTCTCATTTCAGTAATCCCTAAATCTCATAATTTATGAAATGTAATATGTTCATGGACTTATGTCTCAAATATTGTGAAAATATTAATGTTGCTATTCTTTTTTATCCAAGAATGACCCCTACTGTTGTTATATAATCCAATTGTTATTGCAGTGTGTTTATAAAATGTGTCAGCAGTCCTACTGCTGATGTTTTAAAATCGTGGTGGACCTAAGTAAACGCTTTATTTTATTTATTCTACATCCTAAGTTTTTAATAATTAAAAATTTTTATATTAAAGTATAATATACCTACAGTAAAGTACACAAATCATGAATACAGATTCATGACATTTTTAAATATGTATACAACTGTGTAACCACCCCTCATCAACCTAGAGAAAATTTTCAGTATCCCAAAGGCTCTTCAATATTCCTTTCCAGTCAGCAACTACCATTCCCACAAAGATGTAGCCCCTCTGACTTCTATCATTATGGATTAATTTAGCCTAGTCTTGAGCTTCTTTCCTTGACCCAAATTGTAAACTCTCCTTCTTTTTTGGCCTTGCTTCTTTTGTTCAACATTTACCCCTGTTATTGCCTGTAGTAGTAGTTTGTTCCATTATATCATTGTGTGATATTCCATTATAAGAACTACTACAACTTATTTATCCATTCAATAGTTGATGGTGATATGCTTCAAATGTTTTTCTTCTTTGAAAGTAATGTTGAAACTTAATCCCCATTATGAGAGTTGGGGCCTTTAATAGCTGATTGGGTCATGAGGACAGAGTCTTCATGAATGGATTAAGCCATTCATGGATTAATAAATTAATGGATTAATGGGTTATCATGGTAGTGGGATAGTTATCACAAGAGTTAAGTTTGTTATAAAAGCCAGTTTGGCTCATGCTGTGGCCCCTTTGCCATGTGACGTCTTGTGCCACTTTGGGACTCTGCAGAGTCTTCACCAGCAGAAGGTCCTCAAGGGATGTTGCCCCTTGACCTTGTGTTTCCCAGCTTCCAGAACTGTAATAAATAAATTTATTTTCTTTATAAATTATTCAGTCTCAAGTGTTCAGTTATAGCAATGGATAGTCCAATAAAACAGATGGGCATTTGAGTCATCTCAGTGTTTGGCTATTATGAATAAAGCTTTGGATAATCCTATGCATCTTTTTGAGCGGGTCATATATACTCATATTTCTTAGTTCTATACCTGAGAGAAACTTCTATCATAGGTTAGAAATATATTTGACTTTAGTCAATACTGTCAAACTGTTCCTCAAAGTGGTTGTACCAATATATGCTTTGGCAGCAGTATATTAGATCTCGAGTTTCTGAACATCATCAACAAATCTCGATATTGTCTATGTTTATTTTTCCCACAACATCTAATATTTACTGGGCACTTACCATGTGCTAGGTATTATACAAAATACATCCTTATTTGTATACAAAATACCAAAAGAATCCATTTGTATACAAAAAAATGCATTCCATTCAGTCCTCAAAGTAGTCCCATAGAGTAGTATTATTCAAACCTTTTTATTGTTGCTCTTGTCTTCAGTGATATTTTATTGAGGTATAACTTACATAGAATTACATTAAATGTAATTTTACATATAAAATACATTTTCTCTATCAAAATAAAGAAAATTTCATTACCCAGGAAGGCTTTCTTTTGCTGTGCTCCAACCTGTCAGTACCCAAACTAGCAAGCATAAGGACTATTCTGAATACGATCACTAAAAATTAATTTTGCCTATTTTTGAAATTTATATAAATGAATCATACAGTATGTACTCTTTTGTGTCTGATGCCTTTCACTGAGCTTTGTCTTTGAGATTCAAAAATGTTGCTGAGTTCATTCTTTTATTGTGTTGGCATAATATTCTTTTTTATTTCTATGTAGTATTCCACTGTATGAACATTATTCTAAAATATGTTTGCCCACTCTATGATGAGGAGAACATAGGTTAATTCCATTATGAGGCTATTACAAAGCCACTGTGAACATTACTGACTATGCCTTTCAGTTGAAACTTACCTTATGGAGTGTATACTCATGAGTGCAATTGCTGATTAGAGGGCATTTATAGGTTTAGTTGTATATAATAGCAAAGATTTTTCAAAATCAGTTGAACCAATTTGCACCTCTATTGATATAGACCTCCAATTGCTCAAAATCTTTGTCAGCACTTGATATTATCAGTCTTTTTAATTTTAGCAATTCTGATGGGAATACAGTGGTATTACATTATGGCTTAGTTTGCATTTTCTGATGACTAATGTTGAGCATCCATTTATATGTTAACTAGCCATTTTTGTATAGTTTTTCATTAAATGCCTGTTGAAGATCCTTTGGCAAATTTCAATTAGGTTGGTCTGTGTTGTGAATTTCTTCTCCCATTTTGTTGCTTGACTTTTTACTGTCTTAATTTTATGAAATGCAGTTTATCACCATTTTCTTTTGTGGTTAGTGCTTTTCACATCCTATCGACTACTTTGTGTTTGTGAAGATGTATTTCTATATTTTTTTATTTAAGTTTTAATATTTCACCATCTACATTTAAGTCTTTCATGCCTTGAATTGTGTATGGTGTGAGAGGGAAGTCAAGGGTCATCTTCTATGTGGTTATCTAATTGTTCCTGCATCATTTATTTAAAAAGATTAACTTTTCTACCCTGATTTGTAGTGGCATCTTGTAAATAAGGTGAGCATATATGCATTCATCTACTTTAATATTATTCTATTTCATTTGTTTGTTATGATAATGTTACACAAATACCACACTGGCTCAATGACTGCAACTTTATAGTAAGTTTTGTTATTTGATAGTATGGCTCTCCAACTTGTTCCTCAAGATTTTCTTGACTATTCTTGACTATTTCCATATATATTTTTGTATTGGCTTGGGAGTTTCCACAATAATAAGTCTTTAATTTAAAAATAACAAATAAATGAGATCATAAAATAAAATCAAACTTGGATTTGAGTGGAGTTACAGTGAGTCTACAGATTAACTTGGGGAAAATTGAAATTTTAACATTATTGAATTTTCCAATCCATGCACGTCATATATTTCTCAATTTATTTGCTTTTAAAAATTCTTTTCTCAATTTTTTTTAGTTTTAAATGCAGAAGTATTGCACATCTTTGCTAGATTTAGTATTAGATATAGAATTTTTATACTACTGTAAATGTTTAAACTTTTACTTATAAACATCAAAAGTCAAACATTTTATTGTAAATGTTTATATTTTGTTTCATTTTCTATTTGATCTTTTTCTTTTATATAAAAATACAATTAAATTTTATGTAATGATATTCTATTCTATAATCTTGTTATACTTATTAATCCTAGATCATATTTAAAGATTCATTTTTAAAATGCAAAATTATGTGCTCTTCCTTTCCAATCTTCATAATTGTATTGCTTTTCTTCTTTTTTTGCCTTATTGAACCATTTAGAACTTCTAGTACAATACTGAATAAATGTGGTGATAGTAGAACTTGAAAAATTATGTCTTCTGCAGTTGTTAGTATAAATTACATTAAGTTGGCAACATCATGCTATACAAATCTTTATATATTTACTGATTTTTACTTGTGCTTTATTGTTGTGTCTGAGAGAGCTAAGATAAAGTATCCAACTATAGCTGAGTATTTGTCTATTTCTCTTTTTATTTCTGTCAATATTTTTCTCCATCAGATTAAAGATTATATAGATATTTGTGTGTGTGTGTATATATATACACACACACATATATATATTTATATATATATAAAACAACATAGATGTCAGGCTAAGATCAAGTCTTCATGGCTTCATCCCTATGGCCTTAGTGGCCTATTGATCTAAGACAGAAAGAGAGGCATGAGATAAAAATCTCTTTATTCTGCAGTGTGCTCAGATACCAGCATGTTGATACCCAGCACTATTCCCCCAAACTAAGGAATGTTAGTGCTGTTTTTAGAATATTTCAAAAATAAATCTGATGAGAATATTAATTGTCAATATATATTGACTACAGAAAACACTATATAAGAGGGAAGTATCTTTGTTACCTGTTAGAAGTGATTGCCAGTAGGCCAGTCAAAAAAGGATAGTTACTTAGTCTATTATGGTGGCAGTGAAAAAAGAAATAGAAAGATTGTACTTATAATTTGGAGATGAAATGGAAAGCATTTGATAATAAATTAGAAGCAGAGGCTAAGGTTGAGGCTAAGGTTGAGGAACATGAGAAATAAAGAATGAATCCTAATTTGCAGCTTGGACTTTAAAAATTTAGGATCTCTTTGACTTCAGTGTGCTTTTTGAAATTCATTATATTCTGCATAATACTACCCCAAATTCTTTAGTAACTAATTATATGACTGCCATATATAATAGCACCATTTTGTGACAATAGAAGTCAGTAAAAATTGCTGTAGTTACACTAGTAAATGAAAGTTTAATATTTATACTGTGATATACACTGATACTTGCAACAATTTTACTAACAAAAACAGTTCTGGATAACTAAATTACATTATTTTTAAAGTGTGAAATCTTTCATTCAAATGTAGATCCAGTTTACATTGTGAAATAATGCTGATTGGGGCAAGTGCTAATTACTTAGGGTTTCAAACCACGTAATGAAGCACTGATAATGATCTACAAGTGCAAACTTAGACAACATATCATTATAGGTCAGATTAGAAGGTAAAATTTTGACATTTTTATATTTAAATGAAAGGTATGGAAGCACAGAATAATGATTTATTTGAACTAATATATGATTGAATGGATATGCTATCCCATAGGACATCAGGATGGATATCAATAACTGTAATGTCAAATGCTGGAGATTAGAGGCTGAAATAGTTGCCTTGACTACTCTTATATTTTAATATCAGTTTTTGAAATCTTTATTACTGACTAACATTCTTAACTTAATGCTACTTTTAACTGGATCCATGCTATATACTTCAATAAATGATTTAAAATATCAGATGCAAATGTCTGTCTGACAAATCACAAGCCCATATGCCACATTTTTTTTGGTAAGTGATGTTGGTAGTAGGAGCCTCATATATTTTTTAAAATATTCCTGTTCAAAATGTTCAATCATGCTAAAACATTAGGGATGAGTAACTTTTGTTTTGTATAGCATATATTGATTCAAGATATTTTTAGGGTAAGATATTTTTCTTAATCCTCCATTGAAACATGCTAGTTAACATAAGTCGCTCTACTCTGACATACACTTGTTCAAGGAGATGTCGTATTAAGGTCTGAGTGGTCATTCATTTATTTCATACACATTTGTTAAGCACCCACAACGTGGGACCCAAGGAAGAAGTTGTAGACAAGACTATTAAAAGTGAAAAGTACATACATAAAGATAAGTGTGAAATGACAGGAAAGCCCAGGGGGACTTTGGAGGATTTACAGGAAAACTCTAGAACAGGAGACATTTAAGTTGTATCTTGAACAACTTGACAAGCTGACAGATTGAAAAAAGACATTTCAGACAGGGTAATAACTTAATAACTTAATAACAGATACGGTTTGAATGCTTACCATCTGCCAAGCTGGATAAAAAATGCTCTTATTCCTCATCAATATAATTGCCATTATTATTCCCACACTACAGATTAAGAAAGTGAGTTTCTGAAGTATTTTGTAGTTAATAAAAAAATAGAGTTAGGATTCAAACTCAGCCAATCCAAACCCAGGCTCCATTCTCTTAACTACTATGCCACTTAGATGGGACAGAAAAGGTGGAGATGGAGAATGAATGAGCATGGGTGCTTTGGTAATGGAGCTGTAAACATCCCCAATGCCAACTTTCAAAACCAGAGGTTGTAATACCCAGTGCGCCCTATTCCAAATGTATAAATACCTTTTTCTTGTGAGCATATTTTTAAGTGACCAAGTAATTCAGAACTTAAGCTTATGAATGTGTTCTACTGACTTTAAAATATAGTACTCGAACAAGAAATTATGACCTTCAAATATTTCCAAAATTATCTTCTTCCTCTTTGTTTTGTTATAATTATAGACAAAGATAATCATAAATATGCCTCTGGTGGTCTTTTTACTACCTAAAATATATAGAACGATTTTTTTTGTAAAAGAAAGAAAGTTTGGAGTTCTCAGCACCTCTTTCTCAACTTCAAAAGCATATATTTAACTTATGTTTAATTATAACAAAATCTGCTTTTTTTTCCCCTAAGTGAATCTTTGGAAATGAGTCCTGAAAAACTAATAATGGTCCTGAGGCAGGACGATGCACCGAAAATAACATTCCAGCTGGTTTCAGTTTTGTTTGTTTTATAGGAATGTTCTGCTTTAGAAATGTCCGCTATGTAACCCTTAATTTGAATGTATATTTAGGGGAATAGTTGCTATTGTCACAGTAATTGACTACAAACTTTACTCACGAAGAGGTGTTACTAAGTCAAGCATGAAAACTGGGAAGGGCTGGAGGGGGTAAAAGTGAATGCAGAGCAGAAGTACAAGGGCAACTGATGACACTCACCTATTGTAAACTGGCTATTTTTTATTTTTGCTTCTAAGAAAAGATAGCAGCTATAGGTAGTGGTGTTGAAAAGAAAATTGAATTTAGCCCTCGTTGCCAGGATGATGACTGCTAGGGATCTGCTACAGTTATTTTTCTGTAACACCATGTGGCGAAAACTTGTTGTAGCCGTCCTGTGTTTAACATCTCTTCTCCAGTTTAAACCCCATCCAGACACTCTTAAAGGTTGTTTATTCCAGATCCTTTATAATCCATTCATTGTATGTTATTCTCTGTTTTTTTCCTTCCTTTATCTCATATTTCCTACATTATTACAGATGTTACGTTAGTGTCTGGCAGGCAGCCTCTGAAATGGCCCCTAATAATCCCTGTCTCGTTATTTTGATTTTTTTTTTTTTTTGAGATGGAGTCTCACTCTATCACCCGGGCTGGAGTGCAGTGGTGCGATCTCAGCTCACCGCAACCTCTGCCTCCCGGGTTCAAGCGATTCTCCTGCCTCAGCCTCCTGAGTAGCTGGGATTACAGGCATGCACCACCACACCCAGCTAATTTTTGTATTTTTAGTAGAGACGGGGTTTCACCGTGTTGGTCAGGCTGGTCTCGAACTCTTGACCTTGTGATCCGCCTGCCTCAGCCTCCCAAAGTGCTGGAATTACAGGCGTGAGCCACTGCACCCGGGCTGTCTCATGACATTTATGCCCTCAAGTCACCCCCTTTCTTGGAGATGGAGCTGGACTACTTGACTCCCAATGAATAGGCTACAACAGAAGTACTCAGGTGTTGCTTCTTCGGTTACAAAAAGACTGGCTTTCATTGTAGATGTACGCTCTTGCTCTGTCACTCTGAGGGAAGCTAGCTGCCATCTTGTGTGCTGCCCGATGTGGAGGCCTGCATTTATTTGCTAGGGCCACCATATCAAAACACCACAGACTGTGTGGCTTAAGCAACAGAAGTCTATTTCCCACAAGTCAAAGATCAAGGTGCAAGAAGGGTTGGTGCCTCCTGAAGCTACTCTCCTTGGCGTGCAGATCCAGCCCTCTTGCTGCCTCTTCACATGGTTCTCCCTTTGTGCACCAGTACTCTTCAATGTTTAACCCTCTTTTTATAGGGACATTAGTCAGCTTGTATTTTTTCCTACCCTAAAAAATAAATCTTCATTTAATCACCTCTATAAAGGCACTATCTCCAAATATAGTCAGGTCTTAAGGTATTAGCAGTTAAGACATTAACATATGAATCTTCAGCCCATAACAATACCCCCATGCCAAGGAATGGAGGCCTCAGTCCAATAGCCTGTGGGAAACTGAATCCAGTAAGCAGCCATGTGAGTGAGCTTGGAAGCAGATTCTCCCCTAAGATAGCCTTCAGATGAGATCAAAGACCTGGCCAAAGGCCTGACTGTAATCTCATGAGTAAACTTGAGCCAGAGGCATCACTACTGGCATTAATGACCTACAGAAACTGTGAGATGATAAATCTTTGAGAGTTTTTTTTTTAAAGCTTTTGAATTTCGTAGCAATTTGTTATACAGCAAGAGAAAAATAAGACAGTACTTTCAAATCATCATGAGTTTTGTTTGTTGTCGGGTCTGTATTTTTTGGAGTAGAAAAAAAGGAGTTTTTAAAGAAGTTTTAGAGTGAGTAGGTGCTGCATTGCACTCCTCAGATTCCCCTCATCAGGTCTTTTATTTTTATTTATTTTTTTTGAATTGAGACGGAGTCTCTCTCTGTCTGTCACCCAGGCTGGAGCGCAATGGCACAGTCTTGGCTCATTGCAATCTCCGTGGCCCAGGTTCAAGCAATTCTCCTGCCTCAGCCTCCTGAGTAGCTGGGATTACAGGCGTGCACCACCATGCCTGGCTAATTTTTGTATTCTTCGGTAGAGATGGGGTTTTGCTGTGTTGGCCACGCTGGCTTGAACTCCTGACCTCAGGTGATCCACCCGCCTTGGCCACCCAAAGTGCTTGGGATTATAGGCGTGAGCCACTGTGACCTGCCCCACATCAGGTCTTAAACACTCATTTACCGGCTACAGAAAATGTTGGTTGTTGATGGCATACAGCTGCATCCCAACAAAAATTGCATTCAGCTGACAGTTAATTTGTCTAATGTTTGAAATCCTAATGTATCTCTGTAGGGACTCTGGCTTTTCAGAGCATTTTCCAAACGCGTCCCTCATAAATTGGACCAGGCATAAGGAAAATATTGCCATAAGTTGCATTTTGCTTTCTCTTGGTGCTTTATACTCCCCTTGGGATTCAGTCCTTGTTTATCCTCCAGCAAGATATATAAGACTTAGGGGACAAAAAGGCAGAAGCACTACCTCTTTCAGAAATAAATTTTATTCCTTGCTACATTTAGGATAAAAGACCCAGTCCTCTTTATTATAAACTCAGGAATTGCTCTAATGGGGCTTCCAAGGATGTTACAACTGCCTTTCAGGGCCATTAGGCAGCAGCAAGGTGATAGCACTGCTTCCTGATTGCTGCTTGCAAAAGCGTTATTCAAAGCAAGTAGAAGCAGTTGAAACTCTTTCCTCACTACACTGGCATATATTTCAATGATGATCACCGTAATTTTGACTCTCTTCCTGAAATAAGACAACAAAACAGAATGTAAACATTTTTTTGAAGATCAATTGATTTTTTTAAACTGGAAGCAAGCTGACCTTTTCAAAAAGTGCCATAAGAAATTGAGAATTGAAGTCATGTTATTAGGTATTTTGTTAGAAAAGCTAAATCCTCTGAATCCATAATCACTTTTATTCATGAGCTCTACATTCAATGACTTCCAGTACTCTACAATCTCAAATGTCAAGGTAAAGTGTTCATACATTAGAGCTTAGTTGCAAACACTTCGCTACATTAGGTGCAATTTAACCAGGAAAAGCGATATTTAAAAACATGACCACCAAATAGTATAATAGCTTGGTATAGACTGAAAATGATCATATGCTACATTAGGAGAGCTATTCGAGTGTGCAAATAAAGGCATCCCAAATAATTCTGGGCATTTGGATAAGAAAATAAGTATGTTTAAATATGCTTAACACAAAGAAGACAAAATGAAATGCAATTCTGAAGCCCTTATCTTTTATTCATATTTTAAATGTTTGTGCCTGACATTTATTTTACCAATCTAAAAATTCTGTTTTAAACTCCATGCGCAACCAACATTCTGTGCAATTTAGATTACTAATAGCTCAATGTAAATTATGAACAACCTAAAATTCTCCTAGAACTCTACTGTACTGGAAAGTTCATTATTGGGTACCCAAGAAATTCAGGCCAAAATTTAATTGAAAACATTGTTTCAATTAAGTCTGTGACAATGATGAGAGTATCAGTGTGTGTGTGTGTGTGTATGTGTGTGTATGGTGTGTGTGTGTCTGTGTTGTTCAGCTGATTTCAAATCAAGGATGAAATTATTTTCCAATGGAAAAATCAGTGAGATCAGTGAGATGAAAGGTAATCTTCTAGTTCTGAGTCTATCATTATCTACCTGTATAACTTTACCTTCTTTGTATCTTAGACTCTTTTTTTTTTTTGTAAATTGACAATTTGAAAAAATATTGAGTCATTCTTATTTTTTTTTTGTTAGGCAAAATAATGAAAAATTGGCTAAATATTTTGTTAACTAGAGCATGAATTTGTGTAGATGAGTCTTAGGCAAAATAATGTAATTAAGATACCACATAGTTCTCAACTGAGTTTCACTTTACATGTTAAGAAAATAGATATTAAAACTGAGTCTTTTAATGTCTCAATATGTGTTTCAAAGGATGAGAAGATGTAACACAATGCACTGGGAAAGCTTCCAGAGAAGTATTGAGACAAGAGTTCGCAGGTGACCCCTGAGAATCTATAATCTTTTAAGACAAGGATCATAAATCTATCCAAGAATTATCCTAGAGCAGTGTGTTGGATTTTTTCTGGGCTCTCATAAATATAAAAATACATATTAATACCCCTTAAATCCATATAGAAAGAGAAGGACTAGACTATATTTTCTCTTAGGCAAGTGTGCAGGTTTCCATTTTGAGTAGGCATTGGAAGCAGAAATCTTCTTGATACTCAAGAGAAAAACATAGTGAAGAATCATGCTAAAAATAAGGAAAATGTTACAAATTATTTGCTACATTAAATATGATTATTAAAAACAGAAGCCTTTGGTACCAAAGTCATCAAAAGAAAAAGAAAAACAACCCAGAACCTTGAGCTGTATTTCTTCTTCATCTCTGAAATAATGCATCTTCAATGAATGAGGTGGCTTTGTATTAATATTAATGATGCCGAGTCTGGTAAAAAAAAAATTCCTCCAAATGGATTCCTTAGACAAAGGGACTTATTGTCCAAAGCAGGATGTTGAAAATTCATAGAAAACAATTAAAAAGCAACATAGCTATCTCTTTTACCCCTACTAGGAAAGCAAAAATTTTCAAGCTAAAATGACTTAATCTTAAAATACAAAACACACTTTTAGATGTTAAATTCATCTCAAGAAAATTTTGAGCAATGTACTACATTATGCTATGAAAGATATTGCCCTGGGGTGGGGGAGGTGGAGAGAATGGAAACATTCTAACAAGTTGCATAAAATATTGTACACAAAATTACATGAATGATAAGAAATGTAATGGTTCCAAAAGCTCTAACCCAGGCAAAAACCCAGGAAACCTTTTGGCAAAAAGCGTCTGTATCTTTTAGTTGAAAATGCTGAATGGAGTAAGTAACATTTGCTCAGCATCAACTATATTGTGAATAAAACAAAGAAACCCAGGAGAAAGTTTAGAAAATACAATCCAGGAATATTATTATTTCTGGTCAAATGGCAAGGAGTTGATCCCAGCACTTTGGGAGGCTGAGACAAGCAAATCACTTGAGGTCAGGAGTTTGAGACCAGCCTGGCCAACCTGTCTCTACTAAAAATACAAAAAAATTAGACAGGCGTGGTGGCATGTGCCTGTAGCCCCAGCTACTCAGGAGGCTGAGGTAGGAGAATCGCTTGAGCCCGGGAGGCGGAGGTTGCAGTGAGCCGAGATCACACCATTGCACTACAGACTGGGCAACAGAGCAAGATTGTCTAAAGAAAAAAAAAAAAAAGACAAGAAGTTGGATATAAGGGGTGACAAAAGATAGCTTGGGTTATAGTGTTTTTTTCTCCCTTGAATGTTTCTAAATACTATTACATCATTGTCTCCCAGAATATGGAAGTGTGGAGATGACAGAAATCAGCAAAATATTGGTATTTTAAAAATATATATATATATAAAAACAGCTTTCGAAGCTTAGATGTTTGTAGACCTTGTTTATTTTCCATGATGTTCAAGCATTTCTCCCGTTATTAATTCCTTTTAATGAAGTTTCTCGGCTTCTTACTGAGCCCTTGACGCTGGCAACTCCAGCCTTTCTTAGTTCAGCTATTGCCTCTGCCCTTTCCTCTGCCTGTCACACTTATTCTCTATTCCTTTCATCCTCCACTGTTCCTACTAAGAAAATCCCACTGATGAGGACCATTCAAATAGGAGGGGAGATTTCCTATCTCCTCCATGACAGTCTTGGTGAATCCCCCATGACATGGTAGAACTGTACCACAGATGAAACGTTTATAGCACTGACAACAGATGACCTTTTACCTTCTTTTTGCAAGATTATTACATCAATGTCTTTTTCTCTCCATACTCTTTAAGTTTAATGAAGACAATGGCCATGGGCTTTTTAAAATAATTATTTTACTTACAATGTCCAATATCTATTCAAAATACAAATATATGCATTTCTTGAATAACTGTTATCAAGGAAATTATATATTTATCCTTCATTTGCGCTCATGCTCTTTGTTTTTCTCTCTCTCCTTCTACAACTCCTATTCCAAATAGATTCTCTTAAGACTTGGTTTTATGGTTCATTTATTTTTTCTCTTTATTTCTTCTTTGAGTTCCATAAAAACTGCTGAGGCTTATGCTCTTTGTTACTAAATCAGTTATCCCCTATATACATCTATTATTTATAGAGTCCATAATGGTATTTGTTACTAAATTCAAACTTTTCATTACCATGGAGTTTCCTTTTGAATTTTGCATTTTTCCTCTTTATTATCACTTATTTTGATTTGTTAATGCAATATATTCTCTTGAATTTTAAGTAAATGAATTAAATATTTAAATTTGTCTTCTTTTTTTCCTCATTTTAAAATTTTCTTTGGTGGGGGTAAATATATTTCATAGTCTTAAAGCTATTATTTCTTCTTCCTATTAGTTCTCTAATTTCTTATTATATTTATTCATATTCTTATTATTTTTTCTTTTTCTTATAACTAAAGAAGAAGACTTATACTCAGCTAGCTATGAAAGTTCATACAGACTTTCTCAGTCATTCAAAATGAACCAGGCTGGTGGAGATAGTTTTTCCTCTACAACAATAGTCAAGGGAGAAATATAAAAATGGGACAATTTTCTGCCCCTGCAATATGACTCATGGGCCAAAAATATTTATAGCTACTCCTCTGTGCATCTAAATTCAGATGTCCTTGGAATTCAGCTTCTGTCATGTGTTGAAAGAATGATATATTAGAAATCTTGTTTTTAATGCTAAATCTTACGGTTTTTCAAAAAAATTATGATTTTTGACTGCAAGAAACAATATTTTGAGCAAAGCTTTCAATTTTTAAATATTTCAGTTGACAATAATTTTCTAAATATTTGGGATTTCTCACATTTTTTCAATATTAGAGTAGCATGTTTTGGGGCTTTCCCCCTCATTTAAGTATTTTAATCAGCCATTCAGTAAATGTTTTCCCTAGAGAAGATACTGCCTTTTGATTCTAATAATGTGAGGTATTGTAGCTTGTATATGGTATCAATTTATGCCAGAAATGTATTACTATTTTCTTTAAATAAACTATGAATGCTCTAAGAGTTCAGCCTATTAGCCACAATCCACTCTTGAAAATAAAGAAAGGCCACTAAATAGAGATGCGGGCTGCTATAAAGTTTAAGAAATCTTGTTTTAACACTGAAAAAAGAAAATGTGCAGTTAAAACACTGATTTGATTTCCTAATATTCAGTCACACTAATTAATCACATTTGATCATTCAGCTATTTCTTTTTTGTTTCTTTTGATGTTTTGACTTTCAATTAACTAATACAGAAATACTGCAGTGTCTGCATATTAATTAAGTGTATTGCAGTTTTCTCCCAATTATAATTATAAAAGTAAAAGAGACCAAATCATTATCTATAGAGACAGAATGAGAGAGAAAGATGGAAAGCCAGTGTGTTCTCACTCCATGGGAATAATAACCCTCCTTAAAACTTTTACTGTAAGTGGAATTACAGCCTGCCTTATCCATATCTAGAATAGCTAGCTATAATACAGCAATTTCACTCTGAGCTATTTAACTAAAAATAAAAGGAAAACCCCACAGCTCATGTACATAGATATTTATAGCAGCTTCATTCATAATAGCCAACAGCTGTAAATAACTCATTGTCCATCAGTGGGCTAAAAGATACAAAAATTGTGGTGTGATCATACAATGGCATAATACCTAGCAATATAAATGAGCCAATTGCTAATGCAAGCAAAAACTTAAGAAATCTCAATCAAAAGCATCGTGTTAAGCAAGAGATGTCAGACACAGTACCATTTCGAAAAAGTCAAAAATTTTAATCACTTTTCTCACTATGTTTTGATAGTACTTCTTCCAGTGTCCCCAATTCCCTTTAATCACATTGTAATATTCCAATGTTCCCGCAAGCACTCCTCTGTGTCAAAGACCAATGTTGTTTATCTCTATAACGCAGAGTAGAGCACAACATATGTGAAAGACCTGTGTCATTTATCTCTATAACTCAGAGCAGAGCACAGCATCTAGCGCATATAGCAATCTTAATAAATATTTCCTGAATAGCCAGCCCAGTTTCTGAATTGGCCCTGAAATTCTAAGATGGCCTTCAAGATTTCAACCTCCCGTTGTACATACCCTGTAAGATCCCTTCCCAGTGAGTGTAGGTAGAACATGTGAATGTGATCGGATAGTCACTTCTGTGATTATAATGCATTATATGGGACTCCACTCTAACACATTAGGAGGGATTCTCCAGCTGGCCTTTAATTAGAAAGCAAGCTGCCAGGTAGTGAGAGGCCCACATGGACAAAACCTGAAGGTAGCCTCTAGGAGCTGTAAACCACCTTGGCCAACAGCCAGCAAGAAAATGAGGACTGCAGCCCTCCAACTGCAAGACACTGAATTCTGCCAACAACCTGAATGTGCTTGGAAGAGAAACTCGCACTCTAAATGAGAACATATCTCAACTTATTTCAGCCATGTGAGACCTTGAACAGAGAATCCAGCTGTGCTGTGCTTGGACTTTTCGTCTACAGAAACTGTGAGATAATAATTGTATGTTTGTTTAAGCCACTAAGTTTGTGGTAATTTATTACAGAGAAATTGAAAAAGAGTATAAAGTCCTTTGAATAATGTGTGTTGTTTAAAGTGTGCAGATTGGTTTATGCACAAAGAAGATGACCAACAAGTATTTACATCAAATACTCTGATTCCTTAGTTAATGAATTGGATATGCTATTCCATAGAACAGTTCAGATTAATTTATAGCCATAAAGGATCAGGAAAATGATAAAAGTTTGCTATATTGGGATGATGGACTAAATTATTCTATATATTGCCCACACGCTGAGAGACCATGGCTCAAACCTGCACATGTACCCTTGAATTTAAAAGGTAAATAAAAAAGAAATATTGATGATAGAATAAAGAGAAATATAGAACAAAGAGAATAAATTTCTTACTAATTATTTTGCATTAAATTATATGACTATGGCATTTACTGAAAAAAAAAACTGTTGATTTTTAAATACTCTTAAAGTATATTCTGAATTAAGGAACATTTCTTCAACACATTAGAAACATGGATCCCCAAGACCTATGGCAGATATCATCACAAAGCACTCACAATAAAAATTTTTTGAAGGCAAAATTAAGGGCAAAATTATATCAAAATTAGTTAAGGCTTAGAAGTGTAACACTCTTAATCTGTTTAGATCAGTAATTCATTTCTACTTCACTGAAGTTACTTCATTAGCTTTACTAGAGTTATAGAAAGACAGAACTTTTGGTAGGAAAATGTGTTAATTGCAGCGTGGGGAAATAATGCTGTGCAAGTCATTTGAGTTTCAACAGTAAGAGGGTTGGATTCCAATTCCACTGAGTTACTTAGAAACTTGGCCTTCTGTAACTTAATGTCTCATCTACAGAACCGAGAGAATGATGCCCATCTTAAATGTTTATTGAGAAGGTAAGAAATAACATTTTTGATGTTATTTCTCAACATCAGCAACAGAGCATGTTGAGCAACAGAGCATGCTCAACATATGTGGTCTTTAATTATTAGTTGGATAATTTATTTTACCATGACAATGATGTTATTTGAGGAGGTTCTGATTTAAGTGTTCTGAACTAATGAGTAAATGAAGAATTGAAATATTCTAGGAGTACAATAGTGGACTGAAATAACATTTTCCTTCTAATGTGATATGGAGAGAAAAAGTGTAACATCTTGAAAAGTACATAGACTTTAGATTCAAAAATACTTCAATCAAATAAATCTCCATTGGTTCCCAACTGTGAGATCTTGTGCAAAATGTAAAAAGAAAAGTACTAACAATTGGAATAATGTTAAAATAACAAATAGAATAGCTTTGGAATAGAGCTTAGTTCAATGCCAGCCACATCAGAGTCATCTAAAACTGGAAGCTCCTAATAATATTTCATTTTATATCTTAAAGTAACTGCATATCCTAATTTTTTTTCCAAAAGTACCCATGTCAAATCCACAGGTTAAATTATTTCATAAGTATTAGGAACACATTCTATCTAGTTCTGCATTTTGACCATTACTTAAACAAGTTATACTATTATTTTTATTCTCTTCCGAAGTAACTTTAATATTTGTTTTATTTTCACAGAAAGGATTTGCCCCCAGCCTTAGCATCCAATAAGAACAATGAATAACACTTTTCTGATACAAAGTGTTCTGATGCTCCATTAATATAGGCATATACTTACGCTGGGCAATTTGCTGTAATTACAGTCTGACTATTTAAATCTCATGTGGAATACCATAAAAACAGGAAAAACCTAATACAAATATGTGAATCAAGGGATTGTTTTAATGCGTTGGGAAACTATAAGCACTAATTATACTTTAAAATGTGTCTATACTGCAAAAATAATCATAAAGTAGGAAATTATAAAATGATATGGTATATAATGTATTGATGGCATAGCACATAAATATATAGGTATATAGAATGCCTGCCTGTGCAATAAAAATTATTTGTTTTGAAAAATTAAAAGGTTTCCTTATCCTATTTTTATTCTTTAAATACAGAGTTAAAACAATCCTCTCTACATTAAATAGGCTCACAATACAAATTTATGGAATTTTAGCAGGAACTCAGTTTTTAATTTTGAATAATCCACTTCGTTATGTAATATGTATGGAGTTGGGAAGCAAGTCAACTCTAAATGAAACTACACAAAGTCCATTTTATGAGGAAAGAAGTGAACTATCAACTTTTACTATCTCTAGAGGTTGAGTATTTTTTGGAAATTGAATTTTACAGAAGTAATAGAATTAGGAATCAGTAAATGGAAATATCACAGGAGAAAAGTCTAAAAACAGAATAAGGATTCCCAAAAGCAAGGGAAGGAAGCAAACTAGGAAAAGGCCAAGACTCCAAACCCCAAAAGTAAAGGTATCTATAATTTTTGATGGTAATTCAAAACTGAATTGGAAAATAGATGCTTAAGTTTTTAATTATTTATAGTTGTTTCTTTTGTCATAAAATTTACTCATGTAATCATAGGACTGCTTACTTTAGAATGTGTTCCTTCTCAGTCTCACTGTTTTGTTAGCCTATTTTTGCCCTTACCTATTCAAGTTTCCACCATTTTGCATAAAATGGATGAGTGTAGGCAGAATTTCAACATGTGACCATTGTTTCCAGATCTCAATTGGGACAATATCTAGATAGATTAATATTTTCAATCTTGGCTACTTGGCACAATATTTGAATTTTGAAACTTAAAACAATGAAATCCTAAACTTACAAGATCTTATGCAAAGGAAATTGCTTAGGCAAAGAATCTCAAATATTGAAGATTGTAAGAGGGCAACACTTAAATGTCTTCTTTCAATTTTCTTTTGAGAAAAATGCCAGTCCTAAGTTATGAATGAATTAACCGGACTTACTCTATGAATGGAGAGGAATAATCCTGGGTCTTTGACTACAATGAGTTAATGGACTATCATTGATTTTCATAGACCTAGTAATTAACAGCCTCATCAGAAGTGAAGTGAGACACAGCCTAACATTGATGCATTTTAGAAAAGAGCTATAATTTTTACATTTGTGAGTCTCAATTAACATTGCATTCAAAGATTAAGGACATAAATAATTAATTAAAACATGGATGAAAGAAAACAAATTTAGGACTTATCATCCCTGTTTTTTTCTTTTTGAGACAGGGTCTCACTCTGTCACCCAAGCTGGAGTGCAGTGGTGAGATCTTGGCTCACTGCAACCTCCACCTCCTAGGCACAAGTGATTCTCCTTCCTCAGCCTCCCAAGTAGCTGGGACTCCAGGCGTGTGCCAACACATCCTACTAATTTTCATATTTTTTAGTAGAGATGGGGTTTCACCATCTCGAACTCCTGGGCTCAAGCGATCTGCCCGCCTTGGTCTCCCAAAGTGCTGGGATTACAGGCATGAGCCACCACCCCTGGCCTTATCTTCCCTCTTTATCTAAACTTTTAAAAATTGTATATTCTTCCTTAATAATTTATAAACTTATGGAAGTTTTGGCTCGTCCCATAGTTATGGCTTGCTGTGAAGCTCTGAAGCTTTTCAGTGTTCTAAGTTCTTTTGTAATTTATGAAGTGCATTCAAATAAACTAATTCATTTTGATAGTGCTCTTTACATGTTGGTTGTTCAATTTCAGGGGTCGTTAGAGCTGTAACCTTCTTGCATCACACACTTAATAAAAATGGAATGAAAAGTCATGATCCAAAACCTGACAACTGTGTGAAACCTCTCTGCTCTTCTAGATGTATTTTTGTCCACTGAGGAAGAACTTTCCTTTTTCCTTCAACTTAGTGTTTTGAAGAATGTGTTATGTACACATATAATGCTATATCGGATAATTGTAGGCAGTTCACTGACAAACATTTATACTTACATCTATTAAATTTTTTTTAAAAGCATATGTACATTGAATTCATAATTCCAAAGATATCACTGTATAGGAATAGAATAAATTAGAAAAAGAGTTAACTTAATACTGAATTAAACTACATAAATAATAAGTTATTAGTTATGATAAATATGACATAACACAAGTAATAGTTGTATTCATTTATGACAGAAAAATTATAAAATTTGTAAGAAAATAAAGATTGAGAAATACTTATTCTACATGCTGGCCTACTGAAAGTTCTATAATTTCTGTTTATTCCGCAACATATCTCTTTAGAAACTGAGAAAATCTGAGTACCTATCATTCAATTTGTTGTGCCTAATTTTGGAGGATCAGAATGGTAATGTGGAAAGGAGATTCAGTTATAATTCCTGCTCTGAGAATTATAAGATATATGTGGAATTGGAGAATTATTGAAGCTCTCAGAGCAATTCTGGCAAATCTAATAAGTCAAATTTATAAATGAAACAGATTAGCTTGTCTTAAGCACTCAACTACTGCATATCAATAACCAAATTATCAAATACCTTACAAATTAAAATATATCTTAAATCATTACAAATTAAAATATATCTTAAATCATTACATATTTCAAATTGAAATCACTAATACTGTAGAGAAAAAAATTGTACTTCAGTTATGTACCTCTAGAGTACACTTTTTTTTTTTTTTTTTTTGAGACGGAGTCTTGCTCTGTCACCCAGGCTGGAGTGCAGTGGCGCTATCTCGGCTCACTGCAAGCTCTGCCTCCCGGGTTCATGCCATTCTCCTGCCTCAGCTCCCCCGAGTAGCTGGGACTACAGGTGCCCGCCACCACGCCCGGCTAAGTTTTTGTATTTTTAGTAGAGACGGGGTTTCATCGTGTTAGCCAGGATGGCCTCAATCTCCTGACCTCGTGATCTGCCCGCCTCTGCCTCCCAAAGTGCTGGGATTACAGGCGTCAGCCACCGCGCCCGGCCTGGAGTACACTCTTCCAGATGATCTGAATCTAGTCTTTCATTGTCTTTGAGCTATTTTGCAAGTTTGTACATTGTAGCTAACTGATGGCAACAAATACAATTCTTTCTTTACATATGTAAATTCTGTCCTGTCCTATAGAAATTCAATTGCCTTAATACAAATACAAATACAAAATCAGAAATATACGAATACGTATATAAAATCAGATTCTCAATTCTCCCTGTTGAGACTGAGAGCCTTTTCTCCCTTTTCTGAGAACATTTGCTTTAGAAAACTTGTAAATTATTTCTGTCTTTAAAAGATGTGTAAATCTTTTAAAAAGCTAAACAAGACTCTTACCAACTTTAAGATCCAGAATGCCTCTTTGAAGGACCTGGGAGACAATTCTGACACAAAATCATCAAGGAAGATAACTCTCCCATCTCCCAGTTTCTGCAGGAGGCTAGAAGCCTAACTTTGGTAGAAACCTTCCTCTGAAACTATCTTCCATCATAAAAATGTGAGATGTTTGTTGAGACCTTTGTCAATATTGAACATCCTGCCTTGTTCACAGGGGATCTTCAGTTCATGCCTATCGTGCTCCTAATTTTGCAAACTGATTTTTCTGGAACCAGCCTAATTTAGTTAGGAATTAGAAAACTGTTTAGTTATTTCCTCCCCTCCCCCTTCCCCTTCTCCCTCTTCCTTCTTCCTTCTTCATATTTCTTTCTCTCACTACCAGATTCTACTGAAAAGAAGCTTCAGAATAAGCTCTGACACACAAGTAGACATTTGTTATTCAGGAAACAAAAAATCTGTGAAATGAAAATAAATCTTGGGACCCCCAAATCACTAAGCCAAAGGGAAAAGTCAAACTGGGAACTGCATCTAGCAGACCTGCCTCCCGTTTTATTTCAGAATGAGATAGCTATAAAGACAAAAAAGCTACATATCACCCTCACAATTTTCCCACAGGGAAATTCCTTGTGGGCCTCAAGATCTTTACCCTAAAACAGTTCTGTTGAATTTCACCCCGGTAATGTACATTAATCACTTATCTTCACAGGTGCAGAGCAAAGGACAGAACTCATAGTTATCCCTCTGCTCACCTGAGACAAAGGCATATCTTATTGCTTCTTCTGCCCTATTGTTTATGTAAAAATGCAGATTCACTGAATCAGACTAAGGCATAAGTGACTACTACTCTACCCCAACACATGTGAATTATGTATTCAGTGAAATGGTGATCAAAGACATGAATGCAACCTTTTATCTCTTATCTATGACCTGGAAGCCATGACCCCTGCCCCTTTCAGTTGCCCCGCCTTTCTGAACCAAACCCATGTACATTGCACACATAGCGATTGGTGTCTCATGTCTCCCTAAAATGTATAAAAGCAAGCTGTATTCCAATCACCTTGGGCATATGTCATCAGGACCTCCTGAGGCTGTGTCACAGATGCATCCTTTAACTTTAGCAAAATAAATTTTCTAAATTTGATTGAGACCTCTCTCAGAAAATTTTAGGTTCGCAAAAGAGTTACAGACTCTGTCTTGCAACCAACTGAATAAGGTCCAGATCCTGCTGACCATTTATTGGTGTCTGATCTTCCCACTTAGAGGTGGGTGCATGAATTTATTTAAATAAAAACACACACAATTTTTTCAATTTTATCAAAGAAAGCTCCTGTCCAAAATCCTCTGTGCTAGTTGAGAAACTACTAATTTTACCAATGGATAAGCATTTTAACTTTCACTGTATAAATTAGTGTAGCTTCAAGTGTTGATGGAAGAGAAAGATAGCTGAAACACCAGTAGAAGCTGCCTTTGGGGATGGCCTTTTAGATTAAAGGACAGCAGACCACCTCCAGAGTGTGAATTCTTGATTAGGGCAACTGCTGCCCCTAGGATGCAAATTGAAACTAATATAGATTTTAGTCACAGCCTCCACACTGAAGTGTTTTTAAATAAATTTCTTACATCATAATATCAATGTATTATGTATCCCTTGGGCTTTTTTTTTAAAGTTTTACCATTACTCAGTTTTTACCCTAACTTTTCTTACATTTTATTTCTTGATTTTGAATACGTGGAATTAATTTTTCCTTAGTTCTGAAATGGCTAATTTTCTACTAATCTCTTTATTGTTTCATAAGATTCTGCATCCTCCCTCTCTGGACCAGTAATTTTTCTCTTTGGCCAAAATTCTGTTACTGTATTGATCCTACCAGGCCACTTCACTCCTTTAGAAGATATCTACTTCATCCTTTGTAAGTATTTGCTTTTGTCACTCCAGTAATTCTTATTACTGATTACAGTTAAAAATCTGTATTGCACTGATTTTCAGTCTCATATTTAAAGAATAGATTTTGTAAAGGGATAAAATTTTATGAATGAGATGGTTGGGAAATTTAGTGTAAAGGCAAAAGGTACCCACAGAAAGTAGAAAGTGTGAGTCATAAATGGAGGAGTAGGGAAGGAAGCTTTCCTCAACCTCCTTAGGGTTCCTGACTGGGCCTGAAAATAAAACTTACAAAGACAGATTAACATGCCAAGGAACCATATTTTGGGGTATTGTGTTCTGAGCCCAAGCAGAAATGAAGACAAGCTGAAGCAGATGGTATGGTAGAACTAAACGTGCAGGTGGCAGATGCCAAAAATTGGCCTACTAAAGAGATAGCTGAGGCATGCTTCTAGGTACACATTTTCAATACAGGATAAAATTTAAAAAAAAAAAAACAGAAGCAAGCAAGAAATTAGATAAGTAATGATGCTTTCAGAAAAACATCATAATGATATTTTTATATCATTAGTGTGCAATTATGTTATAACACTCAAATTATAATTGATGCTGGACAAAATAGAATTAATATGCAGGTTTATAGCCATCTTTAGTATAAAGGGATAGACAGTCCAAATTTTCCCTACTTTATTGTGTGCACACTAGAAAGTATTATTTACTGTAACATATTTTTTAAGGAAGCCAAATGGCAAAAGGACTTAATTCACACTTAATGTGCATAATTGCAACCGATTTGAAAATTCTTTGTATAAAAGATGACACATTATGAAGCGGGCAATTCTAATTATAATCAAAATTAATATAATTTTTACTAATTTAAGTTATATCTTATGCTATTGAGAAATATATGTGGCATTCTCAGCTATATATGTTATTTATTAATGAGAAAATATCCTTATAATTGAAATTAAAAATTTAATGCTTATTTTTCTGTTTTGTTACTGATTATCAGAAACCACCAATTTTTTCTCTATTTATATAATCATAGCAACTTTTAGTACCAGATGACTAAAATCTGACAAAAGAAAAAGGGTTTTTTTTTGTGTGTAACTAATTCTATTGGAAAATAGTTTTCTGCTGGGAAATAGAAAAGATAATTGGAAGTGGCAGGGAGGACTCTATACAGACAAAACTGAAGCAAAAACCCCTGAAATTCTCACTTATGAGGGAAAAAAAACTGTTAAGTTGCTTAAGACTTGATTATTCTTATACATGTTTCCTCCTCCAATAAAGGAACAAAAATAATAGATTGGTTCATTTATCTTATTATTAGTTCTAATATATGTGTTGACACAGAGTCTTGATAGAAAATATTGTCTAATAAGAAATAATTTATTTGATTGTTTCCTGGATCGTGGGCAGATAACTTGAAGGTAAACAGTTGATTTGCATACTTAATGCTGAAATTATATTAAAAATCCATTAAAAATAGATTAAAAGTTATAGGTTGTTCAAAGGAACTATTCTATAATTTTTTAATTATAAAAGAAATAATTGCATTTATAGAAAATGTTCATTATAGGAGTGTAAAAAGAAGATAAAAATTCTTATGACTCTAAAACACAGATATAAATACTGGTGACATTTTTATATAATTTCCTCAAGTTATTTTTCTGCATACCAGTTATGCGTCTGTAAAATATATGTACATTATACAAAAATAAAATCATATACAAATATACACAATCATAAATATATGTGTTTCTGTGCATATATATATATATATATACACAGTTTTGTGTAGAACATATTTCACTTCTTAATAATATATCAGTACAGCATGAGGATTTTCTTAAGTCTTTAAGCAATCTTCAAAATCATGGTTTTTTAACCTTATTATTCCTCATTATTCTTTCTTACAGATTCTTTAAATGAAATAAATCATGTCAAATAAGAGAATTTTTTTTTTTTTTTGGGATGGAGTCTCACTCTTGTTGCCCCAGTTGGAGTGCAGTGATGCGATCTCGGCTCACTGCAACCTCCACCTCCTGGGTTCAAGTGATTCTCCTGCCTCAGCCTCCTGAGCAGATGGGATTACAGGCGTCCTCCACCATGCCTGGCTAATTTTTGTACTTTTAGTAGAGACGGGGTTTCGCCATGTTGGTTGGGCTGGTCTTAAACTACTGACCTCAGGTAATCTGCCCACCTAGGCCTCCCAAAGTGCTGGGATTACAGGCATGAGCCACCACGCCCAACCAAGAGAAATATTTTTAAGTCTATTGACACATGTTGCCAAATTACTTTCAAGGAACATTGTACCAACTTACTATCTAAGTAGCAGCGTTTGAGAGGGCTAAATAGTCATCTATACCATCTCAATTTTAATGTTACATCCAAACTATTTTAGAAATCTCAGTGTGCATAATCATCCAATTGTGTCAAAGCAGATCCTTTGGAGAAAAATATTAAATTTTCTTTATGAAAAGTTTCTGATATTTGAGAATCCTAATTTTCAGAAAGTTCTTTTTTAGTTTGTCAAAAGAAATTCTCATTTTTATTTCCTGACTTTCTTTTAACAACTATATATCCACAGTTAAGAACATATATAGTGTATTACATTTGAATAAAATTAAAATTGAAATTATTCCCACTGCTACAATTGCCATTGAATCTACTTAGCAAGGCATGAAAATTCAAATTACCAAACTAGATATTGTAGGCTTATCATTTAGAACTCAATAGTAGTTATTAGTGCTGTACACTAAATATTTCTGGTTTTCCTCTTTATGGGGTACGCGGTAACATGGAATGTCATTGTTTTCTGTAGTTAGGTGTACCTACGTAACTTGTCAATTAAATTGGAGCAGAAGTGAAGGATATATCCTTTCTGGAAGAAGTTTTAATAGGAAGATCTTGATTTAACACATGTATTGAGATAAGGTCTCTATCAGCCTAGGTGCTAAGTGATTATTGTAAGCAGAGCCTCCCTGATGACCTGAGTTAGACAAGAGATATGAGTGTAAAATAAAATTTCATATAGTGAATCTATTAATGTTTGGAATATTTCCTATAATAGTGTAACCTATCTACACTCACTAATGCACAAGATGGCTTAAAATGTGGGGAACTGGCTTAATAAATTAGTGGAAGAACCAGGAAGGAAACCAATATTGGAATCTAGAAAAAAAATTACAATCCATGATGTAGTGACAATAGATGAAAGGGAAATTATTTAGAAAGCAGAGCCCAAGTTTCTATGAGAAGTGGCTGTAAAAATATATGTTACTAGTATGCTTTGGTTGACGTTGGTAGCATTTGGGAGAAGGATCATGAGAGATAAGAGCTCAGAATAAAAAGAATGACTGGTTTGCAAGCAAAGTAGAAAAAGGGAAAGTCCAGAAATTTGGTGAATTACAATGTTGGAATGTGCCTTCTCTAACCTAATAAATAGAAAATCAAATGGAGAAGGCCTTTAATGAAAAAAGGCTGAGTTAAACTGAGCTTTGTCATAAGGATTAAGTCAAGAGAATTTGCAGCCTTTTAAAAACATGGCCCAGAAATCCCACTACTGGTATATACCCAAAGGAATGCAAATCATCCTATCATAAAGACACAATTAGGTGTATGTTCATTGCAGCACTATTCACAATAGCAAAGGCATGGAATCAACCTAAATGCCCACCAATGATGGACTGGATAAAGAAAATGTGGTACATATACACCATGGACTAGTATGCATCCATAAAAAAGAACATAGGGTCCATAAAAAAGAACATAGGGTCCATAAAAAAGAACATTTGTAGGGTCATGGATAGAGCTGGAGGCCATTATCCTTAGCAAACTAATGCAGGAACAGAAAACCAAATACCGCATGTTCTCACTTAAAGTGGGAGCTAAATGATGAGAACACATGTACACATAGAGGGGAACAACACATGCTGGGGCCTATTGGAGGGTAAAGGGTGGGAGAAGGGAGAGGATTAGGAAAAATAACTAATGGGTACTAGGTTTAATACGTGGGTGATGAAAGAATCTGTATAACACCTCCTATGACATAAATTTACCTATGTAACCAACCTACACGTGTACCTCTGAATTTTAAGGATAAAAAACAAAACAAAACAAAAAAACTAGGTCAGAAGGCCATGATCTGGAGGCCTCTTTTTGAGATGACTTCTGCAGATCCCAGCCACTATAGTCTAAGAAGCCCAGTCCACAGAGAGGATCCAGGTGCTAGATTCTCCAGTAAACAGTTCCAATTGAGCCAGTTTTTAAATCATCTCTCCTGAGGCATAGGCTTTTTTTCAATTGTGATAAAATATATACAACATAACATTTACCTTTTAAAACATTTTTAAGTGTATAGTCCTGTGGCAGTAAGCAGTGAATTCACGTTGTTGTGCAACTATCAACACCATCCCAAGAATTTTTTCATCATCCCAAACTGAAACACTGTACCCAGTAAACACTAATTTTATACTCGTCTTTTTGCCCTAGCCCTTGGCAACCACCATTCAACTGTCTGTCATGAGCTTTCTTAAGAAGTTATCTTGGAAGTGGATTCTTCAGCCCCGCTTCTTCCAGACTCTAGTAGTTTAAGTCTTTCCAGCTGGATTTAAGGTAAAATTTTTCCTGATGCCTGATAAGTTCCAAATACAAGTAAGTTAACATGCAAAGAGTGAGATTAGGTGGGAGTGGTGGTGGTAGGAGATATGAAACCTAAGAAGGATAACTGATATGTAGAACTGACTGGGATGAAAAAGATAAGAAGCTTACTGAGTTTAAAGGAAGATTTTAAGGAAGAGCCAGTCTGAGATTTATGCCTGAGATCTTCTAAGGAAAATTTGTCCATTTTGGGCCCTCCCAATCATTATGCAAGAAGCTCATTTAGGATGTAGACAAGGGCCAGGGGGAATAATGGACACAGTGCCCACCTACAGAAGAGGAACTTCATCAAAGAATAGGTTCTACTTGCCCAAGTCAGTTTCACCAAGTCTGTGTCGTCCATATCTCTCATCTTCTCTTTTCTGAATACAAGTGTTTTTATTGCATTTATCTTGGCTGGGCATGGTGGCTCATACCTCTAATCCCAGCACTTTGGGAGGCTGAGGTGGGAGGATTGCTTAAAGCCAGAAGTTTGAGACCAGACTGGGCAACAAAGTGAGACCCTTTCTCTATTAAAACAAAAAGTCTCATCCCTAGTCTATGAGTGAATTCTCTGTTCAGAAGCACGTATAATTTACTATTGCAGTTTATCCATCTATAGAAGATTAAGAGCCACAGCTGACCTGATGTAGAGACTACCAAACATCTGTCATCCAGAATTTTGAACTTTGAGATTGATGCCATAACTGAATGAAATTTTGGTTTACCCTCCTGGGAAGTTGATGAGTGTATTTTGCAGTCAGAAGGTAGTAAAGTGAATATTTGGTGACTAGAAATCTGAAATATTACCACAGTTGATCAGTTCGCCTTTCTGAACACATGATAGAATCATCCTTTGCTATCCCTTTGAATTTAGGTACACCTATTTGACTTTTTTTTCTTTGCCAAAAAATGTGACTGGAAGTGATGAAAGCTTAAACTCTGGTATCTTTAAGAGTCAATATCTGATTTGGCATTTTTCTTCCCTCACAGGGATGAGAGTGGATGCATGAATTGAGGAGTCTCCATCTGAGGAACTGAAAGACTGTGAAGAGCACAGCCCCCCACTGTTCACCTGATGTAGACAAGGAACAGAAGAAAAAATGAACTTCTGTTGTGTTATGCCTTTGAAACTTGGGCATTTTGTGCAATGTAGAATAAACTTGCCCACTTCAACTTATGCAATTTTTTTTACCTGATATCACAATTCATTTCTGATTGGTTAAGAGAATATTTAATGTTCTAAGTAAATATGCATATATATAATATTTAAAGCCATTGAATTCAAAGCTACTTATTAGATATTCTTTGCTGTATTTTGGTTATTCTTTCTCAAATTTAATTATGCTCACAGTATAATCTATCTTATGTGACATAGTATTGTTTCTCAGTACTAATTTAGGAAAGGCCCAAGTGTATTAAGGCTGTGTTTTAGAAAGAATATTGTTTCAGCTTTTGTAAGCAAGTCATTTTAAGAATTAAGAGTTACACCAAAAAAAAGTACTTTGACGTTATGGGATATTTTGATCATTGAAACAGTGATGTCAGATGGTTAAACAGATGTAGACAGAAGATAAATTATTATATATAGACATTGACTATTGTCGTATATGGAATTGAACTAAACAGACAGTATCTTTCTTTTGCTTATATAGCCATGCTTTGTCAAGAATTATTTAGGGAAAGTAGGAAAGAAATCAATAGATTTTTCAACATCTGTGAATCCCATTCTTTTTACTTGGTTCAATTTCCTGGTCTACTCTATTTAATAAGAATCCTGCTGTTTTTCCATCAGACATTGTAGCATTTTACATCGTTTCTTAATTGCTTGCCATTTTACTTCTAGACTGGTTTTTAAATTATTTGTGACAGAAGCTCGACAATCAATACTTGCTTGAAAACTCCTTACTTTATTTTATTTTTGTACATATTTTTATCCTCTATGTGTGTGTATGGTGTGTGTGTGTGTCTTAATCCGTTGGAACTGCTATGACAAAATTCCTTAGACTTGGTAGCTTATAAACAACAGATAGATATTTATTTCATGAAGTTCTGAAGGCTAAGAAGTCCATGATAAAGGCACCAGTAGATTTGGTTATTTGGTGAAGGCTGCTTTTTGGCACCTTCTAATGTGTAGTCATGTGGTGGAAGGGGCAAAGCAGCTCTCTGGGGTCCCTTTAATAAGGGCACTAATCCCACTCATGAAGCCTCCTCTCTAAAAATCTCATCACCTTCTGAAGGTCCTTCCTCTTAATACCATCACTTTGGTGATTAAGTTTTCAACAGGTGAATTTTGGGAGAACACAAACAATCAGGCCATGGCAGTATGTATGTTCATTTGCATGAATCTCTGTCGGTTTTGTAATCCCATTTTACTTACTTTCATCAAAAAGTAAAATATTTCCAGTTATTTTTTTTCTAACAGGACTTAGACATTTATAATAATGTTAATGTTAAGTATTTCATCTTTGACAAAGTGAGCTTTCAAATTGGATGAAATAAATTTAACCATTGTTAGAATCACCTTAGTGGGTTTACTGTTGAAAACATTTCTTGATTGATATAAAACTAATGTTTTCAATTATTTGAGAAGTTCGGTGAATGGAGCCGACACTGTAAGAACTGTCATTTCATTTCTCTTGCATGCACAGAAAATAATTTTAAATAGAAAATGAGTGAAATTAACATAGAAAACAGTTGTTTTCATTTGTTTGGAACAAAATGTCTTGCTTCATAGAGCAATATATAAACACAATTTCTGCAGCTCCAGGTATTAAATGTTTAATGTCTGTTTAATACACAAATAACATTTGAAGTAAATGTGGTTGTTTTGTTAGCAGAATTGTGCATTCTGCTTTTAACATGGTATAACTGGTCTTCAGGGTGAGTGGTAAAGACAACTACTTAGTGTAAATTACACATTTATCATTCACTTTCTTCATGCACAGAAATTCAGTAATTATTTATTAAAATCGTAGCTTTCTTTAAGATCATGCAGCTATAAGGGCTTACTGCGTATTTTTTTAAGTGCTAGAGAAAGTGTTGCAGATTTGCAACATACAATAAATGGCAGTGACACAGCATAAGCGGTGTCCAGACAACTCTCTAGACACCCTTGCAGGACAGCTTAGCCTTCCCTTCCTCACACATTTTACATCCACCTGACCTATAATTTCCCATGTTACCCACTGACCTGATTGACTAGAGACTTCAGGTATCTCAAAGCCCATGTAAATGTATTTTACTTTTCTGGGTAAGCTAAGAGGGAAGGTTATTAACTGAGAGTGAGTAGAAAAGGGAGGTACTTATTTTCAGCAAAATTTGCTCACTATGTCATGTTACCCAAATTTAACCATTCTCATATCTTTCACCTTCCCTTAGTATTTTAGGGATAAAAGGGTCTCATCTGGGGACTATTTCTTAATTGTTCCCTTGTGAGCTACTCGCCTGTATCACACAATCATCCTTACCCTTCTTAGGCCCTTTATTGTTTCCCTGTTTACAAACAAGAACTTGAACACTGTCTCCTCCTTGCTTGGCTGTAACAGCCACCTTGCTCTGTAGTAGTCATTACCCACAGTCTCTTTTAATTTAGCACACTACAACAAAAGACTGAATCGCTGTAGCTGACTTAATTGAATGGCAACAATAACTTGATAGAAATCACAGCTTACAAGGAAAAAAGACATGTCTGTTACCTAAATATGACTAGTCAGTTTTCTATAGGAAAATAATAAACAGCGGCTCTTCTTATTGGTAAAATGTGTTCCTAGATCTCCTGTCTTGAGGTCAACCCTTCTGCCTTTTGCCAATAGTATGATTGTTTCACAGAACACATTGAAACTCAGTCCTTCATTTACTTGTTATTTTATTCATTCAATAAAATATTTATTGATTTTTTTAAATTTGTAACTTTTAGTTTTTGTGGGTATACATTAGGCATATAAATTTATGAGGTACATGAGATGTTCTGATACAGGCATGCAATGTGTAATAATGACATCAGAGAATGGGGTATCCATTTCCTCTAGCATTTATCCTTTGTGTTACAAACAATCCAATTATACTCTTTTACACATTTCTTTTTCTTTTTTCTGTCTTTTTTTTTTTTTTTTTTAAGATGGAATTTCACTCTTGTTGCCCAGGCTGGAGTGCAATGGCGCAATCTCAGCTCACCACAACCTCCGCCTCCTGGGATCAAGTGATTCTCCTATCACAGCCTCCCAAGTAGCTGGGATTACAGGCATACACTACCATGCCCAGTTAATTTTTTGTATTTTTAGTAGAGACAAGGTTTCTCCATGTTGGTCAGGCTGGTTTTGAACTCCCGACCTCAGGTGATCCGCCCGCCTTGGCCTCCCAAAGTGCTGGGATTACAGGCGTAAGCCACCGCAACTGGCCTTTACTAATTTCAAAATGTACAATTAAATTATTATTGACTAGAGTCACTCTGTTGTGATACCAAGTATTCGGTCTTATTTATTCTTTCTGTTTTTCTGTACCCATTAACCCTCTCCCCTTCCCTCTCCTAGCCCCCCACTATCCTTCCCAGCCTCTGGTAATCATCCTTTTACTCCCTATCTCTGAGTTCAATTGTTTTCATTTTTAGATCCCACGAATAAGTGATAACATGTGAGGTATGCCTTTTTGTGCATGGCTTATTTCACTCAACGTAATGATCTTCAGTTCCATCATTGTTGTTGCAAATGACAGTATCTCATTCTTTTTTATAGCTGAATAGTACTCCATTGTGTATATGTACCACACTTTCTTTATCCATTCATCTGTTAATGGACATTTAGGTTGCATCCAAATCTTGACTTACAAAGTTGTGAATAGTTTTGCAATAAATATAGGAACGAATATATTTCTTTGATATACTGATTTCTTCTCTCTTGGGTATAACTGAACAATAGGATTGCTGGATAATGTGGTGGCTCATTTTTAGTCTTTTGAAGAACCTCTAAACTGTTCTCCATAGTGGTTGTACTAATTTACATTCCCACCAATAGTGTAAAGGGTTCCTTTTTCTCCACATTCTCACTAGTATTTGTTATTGCCTGTCTCTTGGATATAAGTCATTTTAACTGGGGTGAGATGACAACTCATTGTAGCTTTGATTTGCATTTCTCTGATGATCAATGATGTTGAGCACCTTTTCATACGCCTGTTTGCAATTTGTATGTCTTCTTTTGAGAGATGTCTGTTTAAAGCTTTTGCCCATTATTTTGATTGGATTATTAGATTTTTTTTCTTATAGAATTGTTTTAACTCACTATATGTTTTGGTTAATATTCCCTTGTCAGATGGGTAGTTTGCAAATATCTTCTCCCATTCTGTGGGTTGTCTCTTCACTTTGTTGATTGTAACCTTTACTGTGCAGAAGCTTTTTAACTTGATGCAATCCCATTTGTCCATTTTTTGCTTTGGTTGCCTGTGCTTGTGAGGTATTACTCAAGAAATTTTTGCCCAGACCAATGTCCTGGAGGCTTTCTCCAATGTTTTCTTACAGTAGTTTCATAGTTTATGGTATTAGATTTAAGTCTGTAATCCATTTTTATTTGATTTTTGTATATGGTGAGAGATAGGGATCTAGTTTCATTCTTCTGTGTATGAATATCCAATTTTCTCTGCACTATTTATTGAAGAGACTATCCTTTCCCCAGTGTATGTTCTTGGCACCTTTGTCAAAAATGAGTTCACTGTAGGTGTGTGGATTCAGTTCTGAGTTCTTATTTTGTTCCATTGGTCTATATGTCTGTTTTTATGCTGGTACCATGCTCTTTGGGTTACTATAACTCTATAGTATAGTTTGAAGTTAGATAATATGATTCCTTTAGTTTTGTTCTTTTTGCTCAGGATAGCTTTGTCTATTCTGGGTCTTTTCTGATTCCATATAAATTTTAGGATTTTTTCTTCTATTTCTGTGAAGAATGTCATTGGTATTTTGAGAGGGATTGCATTGAATCTGTAGATTGCTTTGGGTAGTATGGACATTTTAATGATGTTGGTTATTTCAATCCATGAACATAGAATATCTTTCCATTTTTTGTGTCCTTTTCAATTTCTTTCATCAGTGTCTTGTAATATTCATTACAGAAGTCTTTTACTTATTGATTAAGTTAATCCCTAGATATTTAGTTTTATGTGTGGCTATTATAAATGAGATTACTTTTTAAATTTCTTTTTCATATTGTTGGCTATTGGCATATAGAAATGCTACTAATTTTTTTGTGTTGATTTTGTATCCTTCCACTTTACTGAATTTGTTTTTTTAGTTCTAATAGTTTTCCCGTGGAGTCTTTTTTTTTTTTTTTTGAAAGAAGGGATTGGGGGCTCCTTGCTTCTAGAGAACAAGAGCCCTGAGCTTCTACAGCCCTTCATATTTATTTGGTGGA
Source organism: Homo sapiens (assembly GCF_000001405.40). Taxonomy (NCBI): domain Eukaryota; kingdom Metazoa; phylum Chordata; class Mammalia; order Primates; family Hominidae; genus Homo; species Homo sapiens. Next base: position 33,697,085 of record NC_000012.12, read on the forward strand.
GTAAACAGAGAGGAAGGGGTAACTGTCAGTCAACTATTTAATTTAACACAGGTGTACATGATTGCTTTTTTTGTTCAACAAGCTCCATACGTTTCTGTAGATAACTTCAAGGAACATGGCACCTGGGACGTGACTGCCCTCAACATTCCTTCTGGGGGCAGATTCAGTTGTCAGCCTGCCAACTGCTTTCACGAGAACAATTTGCTGTTTGCTCATACAGCCTCCAATGGTATACTGAGTTGGTCATGACCCTAATTCCTTTGGCGTCCAACATCTCCCCCTTTATGTTTTTGCATTAATTGAATAAAGGTAATTCCAGGCTGTGCAGCTTTCAATTGCTGGTTGGTGGTCCACCCAATCTTATAGACTCACGGGACACTACTGCTAACATGGCCAAGCACATGGAGTCAGGGGTTTTTGCCTGACCCTGATGCTCCAGCATTTTCTCAGCTTCCTGCTTTGTTTTCTTGATCTGTCCCCATGTTATGGGGGTGGATGTCAGTGTGACTGCGGTTGGCCCTTGCTCCATTTTTGCATTCAAATTCAGCTGGCTCATGACTCCTACTGGAGGGACCAGGCCCACGGATGGTCTCAATCTGCTGACCTCGTGATCTGCCCATGTTGGCCTCCCAAAGTGCTGGTATTACAGGCGTGAGCCACCGTGCCCTGCCTAAGTCTGCTTTCAGATAATACTATCCTGGTTTTGTGGGTAATGCAGGTACCTTGTAATAGAGTAATTCTAATTTTTCTCACCTGTCCTTTATAATATTGCTGTTCTTTATTTCACTTATTGTATGCTGTAATCACCCATATATTGTTGCAACTGTTAATTTGAACGGTAGCTGAAACATTTTTTCCCTTATGTCTGTCAACTGTTTTCAATCAATCCTTTTGTCCACGTGGACTAAAACGAAACAAAATTAGGTAGCATTTGTTTTTTATGCAAGTCATATATAATAAATGAAAAGTCAGAATGAAAATATTAGTACCACAGTGATTAATATATATATTGCATATGTAGTGTATCCCAGTCTAAATGCCAGAAAATCAGTGGGAAGAAAAGCAAAGAGGAAAGATGTTAAGGGTAATCTTTATAGTCTGGCAATAGGGTGTTTTCGTCATAGAAAAAGTACCGCTAGCACTACCACTATCGATTAGAAGTGAGATAGTCCTCAAGTTATTCTTTTCTCTTCAATAGCCCTTGGGTAAACAAAATATATCCAAACTCCCTGTATACTCAATTTTCGTCAGGGAAATGGAGAGTGTAGTTTTATAAAAAGTCTTCACTGTCTATTTCTAGGCTTTAAATGGGAAATATGGTGCCTCATTTTGTTCCACTTTTTCTGGTGAAAATATTAGCAATTAACTAAAGAACTGGAAAATGAACCTCACTGACATGAAGAAATATCAAAAGGTTCAAATAATCTACAAATTGAAATCTCTTCTCTCTAAGTAATGGAATTTCTAATTTTATATGCCTTATATTTCTCTGAATGTCATATGACTTTTTATTATAATTCTCAAAGTTAAGCATATAAAATCAGGATTGCTGAGAAAAATGTAAACTTTGCTCTCAAATCAAGAAGGCTTCTACTATATAAATAATTAACTAAATTGACATGTATCTTAATACATATAGTAAGCATTAGAGGTTAAAATGCTATGTATACATATTCAGAGCTCAAGAAACAAATATTTGTTTTGTTTTGTTTTGTTTTGTTTTTAAAGAAAGTAGTAGGAGAAACTCAAAGAATTATTGACAGAACTTTTTGGTGGTCCTCCCTGCTGCTATTGTCTGCATGTCAAGACCAGTAGTTAAGATTCGTACAAAACGATGGTGTTACAGTTATAAATGCCTAGCTCACTTCTTCATGACCAGAGTGATGAAGGAAGGAATCTCGCTTGGATATAATTTTTATTGTGATAGCAGATGGGAGCCCTAGGGAATCTTAAAGTGTTCAGGAAAGAGCAGCAATTACAAAAACATCTCTAGAGTGTGCATAGTGCAAGATCTCTTTGAATGCTTAGAGGCAAAAGTTATTTATCACGGGAACTATTATGAAAGCATGAGATAATGCATCTGCAAAAAAGAAGATGTTAGAGTAAGAATTGGGTCCCAAGGCCTGAGTCTAAGCAGAGAGCATAGAGGAAAGCAGTAAGAAAGAGTATGGGAAAGGTGTATAAGGGTTTGCAGAGGAGGGACCAAAACCCTGACAGAAATAGCAACAACTGGAAGGGGCAGAAGTACCCTTCAGGCCAATTTTCTGGTTCACAAATGTGTTTTGTCTCCTACGTAGTGTTTGAAAAACACATTTGGCCAACATTTTAAAACTGGCAGAATTCACATTTTCATGTGCAGTGGGAAAAGCTGGAAATCTGGTCTTTGTGTGCCTGCCAGCAATCAGGTGGGGCTGAATGCAGCACAACCACCTCATTTAGCTGTGGTCGGCGGCCGTGCAGTTTATCACTGCATGTCTCTTTCTCTCCCCAGGCTTCTTCCACTTCACATTTACATTTTCTTTCTGGCCCTTATAGGCACTTTGTTTTTGAACCCTGGGTTGGACACCGATTTACTGAAAGTACAGAATCTCTGAGTCCTCTGAAATGCACAAGAGGATGGTTGGGTCTTTAAGAAGACAGAGTAGACTGAAAACAAATCAAGACAGCCAAACTGAACAGACCTTGTTTTCTTAGGCTAAATACCACTTACCCTCTCTGAAAAGGCTCAAGTTATCAAAGCTACACTGAAATTGGTATGTTGTGCTTTCAATTAATTATAATGTTTAACTTAACTCCAAAGAAAATTCAGTTACTAGTTTATATAAAGTATGTGATTAAATTGTTCCCAAGTAACTATCTTTCTGTGATATGACTCAGTTAAGAAATAATTTGGAGACTTCCAGACAAAAATGGTAAATTAAGGCCATTTCTACTCGACTCTCTTCTGAAACCAGCTGAAAACTACTAAGACTACTGAATTTTCAATGAAATTAGGCAACCACTACAATTGCAATAGTCAGTTAAAAAAAATAAAATCCAGATCAAATATCAAGAGGATATGAAGCAACAGGGCCCAGAGACAATCAAGCTGCATTTGTAGTTCTCAGAAATTGGTGACACACTTGGAAGTCACAAGTATGTGACTTGTGGCTTGAACTAAAGCACAATAGCAGGAAGGCAGGGCAGAATAAGAGAAGACATGATTTGACATCTGCCAATCTCAGTAAAGAAAGATAAATAACTGTTAGATCACCTCACAGAAGGCAGTGAAATGCAGAGATTTTTTGGTAACCCCACAGCCTCCTTGTCGTTGTGAGTAAAGATGCAGTAAGGCAATGTAAGCAGCACAAAATTTGAGAAGTGGTTTATGACAGCTGGATCCAACACACCAATTGCCAGGTGTGTTTCCCCTAACTTTACTCCATATATTCTCCTGCAAAGAGATGGCTCAGAAAGTGGCAATGCACAGATATTTTCAAATAGAAAAGAAATAGGGTCTGTGACACACAGTTTCTTTTTGGAAAGCAACCTCAAGAGGAAATTATTCTGACAAACAGATGAATGAAGAAATCGTGGTAGAGAAAATGGCCAACACAATCTGTTAAACTAAGTTTATAAGAACAAAGTTTCTTGTAAGACTAAGGAAAAATTACTGAAAATATTTTAATGATTGGCCAGAATATCTGTAAATCTTCATATTGTAGGACTTACAATATAGAGATAAAACTTGGGATAAAGAGGATGGGGACAAGAAGTTGTAAGAAGTTCGTGAATACTATTTCCATATTCTCAGAGTGGGAAATGAGAGGACAATAAACCCTGTTTTAAAATAAATGAATCAATTTATGAGCTAATTTAATAAAGTCTTAGTGGAAGACCCATAAAAATAAAAACAAATTATAAAAACAATTGATTATTTCTGAAAGAAAGCACAGATAACATAAAACAATGTAAAGATACCATAAACCATGCAAAGAAACATTAAAAAGAAAAGAACATTAAAAATAAAAACATAACATGAAAGTATAACATTAAATAACAGAAGCAAGACTTAAATATATCTGTCAACTCAATATATGTAATTAAATTAAAAATCATGTTACAACAGAATTTAATTGTATTTAAACAAATAATGAAGTATGCATAAAGCAAGTGACTCAGGTTGAAAATAAATGAATAGGCAAAAAAAAGAGATGGCAAAAATAAATAATTACTTTTAATGAAACGCATAATAATATAAGACCAATTTTAATTCAAGTCTTAAAGCATTAAGGATACAAAGAAGACCATTTTACAAAGAAAATGTTACATTGAACAATGAAAGTTAGTCTTTGTAAGAAATTAGTGTACCATAAATATCTTTATGGGAAAATAATAGTAGAAAAAGGATAAATAAGTGGAACATATGTTTGGTCAAAGTCAGGTTTAATAGACAAAAATAAGTAAATAATATTAAGAATCTACAAAAATGTAATTATTATGAGCATCTAACAGATATATATTAAGCATATATTCTTGAAAATGAAGAATGCCTTTCTCTTTTATGTCTCCATAGAATATTTGCAAAATTATAAAAAACTTAGTTTTAAATCCTTATTTAAAAAAGTAGAAAAAGTATGGACTTATGTTCTGATCACATTGAATTAAACATCAATATTAACAATAAACATATAAACAAAATCTCATGCCTCTTGAAAGGTAAACAACACATGACTCTGTCCTAAATGAGTCTCAGGTAACTGAGAAAAATAAAAATGAAATTTGTAACATATTTTAAAACCAATAGTAATAAAACATTATATATCAGAACCTTTGGGTTTCAGTTAATTCATGCTTAGAGGAAAATTAATACCATCAAGATTTTAAAACTCAATTAAAATTATTTAAGCATTTAATTTAAAAATATTTCACTCCAATGTCAGCTTAATGAGAGCAGGGATTTCTGTCTATTTGTTCAGTGCTGTATTTCTAGTTTCCAGAAGCATTTAACATATAGTAGGTATCAACATGTGGTACCGGATGAATGAATGAATGAAATTAAGAGATGAAAAACAAAATACAGTACAACCAAGAAAAATAAATGTGCGAAATTTATGGGATAAGGATAGAAAACAATAAATAAGAAAAGAGAAAAATAATAACATTAAAATACATATCAAAGATCAATTCTTAAAATCAAGGAAGCCAAAAACAGATTATTAGCTAATATCAAGAATAAAAGGAAAAAGCACAAATACACAGCATTAGATGTGTGACAGGGAAATAATCATAGATACAAAATGATAAGATTAATGTTGTATTAATCAGTATGGAATAGATTTTACTGAATAGTAAAAATATATTGTTGGATAAGTTTTGATATACTATTTCAATGGAATTATTATTCAGCTATACCAATGAACAAACTGCTGATACATGCCATAAAACTCTTTTACATTATGAAGAAGAATATATACAGCCCAAATTTTAAAATGTTGATATACTTGAACACAAAAGAAGATATCCACAATTGCCAATAAGCATATTAATAGATGTTTGGCATCATTACCTAATAGAGAAATAAAAATTAAAAACACCGTTTGACGGCACTGTAATAATTGCTAAGATAAAAAGATAAATTTTAAAACTCCAAGAATTGGAAATGATATACAGCAAGAAGAATTACTGGGCATGTAAATAGTTACACTTCCAAATGCTACATGTCAATATCTGCTAAGGCTAGACAAATTCCCACTCTATGACCCAGTGGTTGAACTTCAAGGAAAGGAGTGCTATTGTGTACCAAATGATATATACAAGAATATTCATAGCAGCCTTACTCAAAATAGCCAAAAACCTGAAAACAACTCAAATGCCCATCTACAGTAAAATGAATAAATATAATAAAATACAATGGAAAACAGCAAACTGCTGATACACATATAAAAGGAAGATGAGCACATATCATGTAATTCCCTTTATATAAAGCTCAAGAACTGGAAAAGTAGGAATGATTACTGACTGCGGCATATGAATTGACTAGAAAAAAGCATGAGCAAGTTTCTGGGGCACCTCAAACTCTATATTTGTATCCAGGTGGTGTTACACAGATTTTCATATGTGTAAAAATATGTCAATCTATTAATTTAAGATTTTGAGGGGCAGGATTCATTATTTTAATATTTTAGCAGCTCTTGAGACATAACTCTTATACAATAAACTGCAAATATTTCAAAATTATAATGGAATGGATGAATCATATATCAGGTGTATGATCCATCCATTCCACTGTAAGTACTTGCTCCAGATAAGTGAAAATGTGTATTCATATAAAGACTGGTACAGGAATATTCATACCAGCTTTATTTGTCATAGCCTAAAACTGGAAACACCCAAATGTCCATCAACAGATAAATCATGAGCAAATTGTGGTACAGCCGCAGTGAAATACTACTTAGGAATAAAAAGAAATGAATCATAGGTATATGCAAAAATGTGAATGAATCTAAAAATAATTATGCTGGGTAAAAAAAGCAAGGCAAGAAAAAGTATGTATTATATGATTCTATTTTATAAAAGGCTAGAAATTGCAAAGTAGTCTACACTGATAGAAAGATCAGTGGTTGCCCAGATATGTGCAGGAGGAAGAGTTTTTAGAAAGGATTGCCAAGGGGCATTAGAAAACTTCTCGAGATGATTAGCTTGTTCATTATCTTGGTTGTGGTGATAGTTTCAGACAGGCATATACGTATGTCAAAACTTATCAAATTATAATCTTGAAATATTTATAGTTTATTGTATGTCAGTTTGACATATGTATATGTCTGTCTGTATTATGTATCAGATGGGCATGTACATATGTCAAAACTTATCAAATTATAACCTTGAAATATTTATAGTTTATTGTATATCACTAGCAGTGCATGAGATTTTCAGTTCCTCCACAGCTTTGCCAACACTGGGTATCATCAGCCTTTTAAATTTTAACCATTTTAATAGCATATAATGGTATTGTTCTGGTTTTAATTTTCATTTTTCTAATTACTAATGATGAGCATCTTTTCATGTGCTTATATACCATCCCTATATCTTCTTTGGTGAAGCATCTGTTCACATCTTTTGCCCATTTAAAAAAATTGGGTTGTTTTCCTATTGCTGAATTTTGAGAGTTCTTATATATTCTGGATAAAGACCTGTATCAGATATACTTTGCAAATATTTTTCTCTCAGTTGTGGCTTGTCTTCCTATTCTTCTCACAATATTTTTCGAAGACGTTTTAAATTTTAATTAAGTCTAGCTTATAAATTTGTTCTTTACTGCATTGTGCTATTGTCATATCTTAGAGATCTTTGCCTAACTCAAGGCTTTCTTCTAGAAATCTTACAGTTTTATGTTTTACATTTTTAAGTCTATGGTCAATTTTGAGTTAAATTTTGTATATGGTATGAGATATGGATCTTGGTTCATTTTTTTTTTTTGGATATAGATTATCGTATTGTTCCAGTACTATATGTTAAAATACATAAACTTAAGAGTTTTTGACTTTTCTGCATGTATGTTGTACCTCAATAGAAAATTAAATATAAATAAATCAATGAATATAGTGAAATAAAAGTCCTATTTATAATTATAAGCAATAAACACTAGAAAGTACCCAGAAATAAACTACGGTATGTACATATGTGGAGGAATTTTCAAGTTGTGTTGAAAGATATAACAGAAGCTCAGAAAGATTTAAATATTGCAAAGTATTCAATTATCCTATAATCAAAATATAAATACAATACAGTCTCTGTACAAAAACCACTATGTCATTCCTACATGGCAGTTCAATCCAACTCTGGTTCATTCCTGGCCCTTTAGGTTTTTCAGCTAAAAGCCTGCATATTTTCCACCACCTCTCCCTAACTGGTCTCAAATGCTGATCTTTGTCTTGTGATATTTGCCCTGTTTTTCAGAGGTTTTCCATTTATGATTTTAGTTTCCTTTCCTTTTCAGGCCCAGAATCATGAAATTTCCTAAGAGGAGAATGGGTCGTGTACTTGAAGTCTCCTACGTCTCTGTCAAAGCTGTCTTGGTTTTTCAAAACATGTAATATGTGGGTTTTCCCTGTGCTGCTCATGCCCAGAATCATCAAATGTCCCAGGGTGAGAGTGGCTGAGGAGACATGTCCCCTCTCTGAGCTTCTTCCCTCTCTGGAACCTTTGCCTTTCCAGTCCTCTTGTCTCAGTAGTGATTACTTATACTGGAATGATGGTTTTTGTATTTTATTTGGCTTTCCTATTTGTTCTCAGAGGCAGCTTTAGTCTGCCATTAGTGCCTCCAGTCAAGACAGGAGCAGAAGTTCTGGTATAACCTTTTAAAAACAAACAAACAAAACCTCACTTAATTGAAAGAGAAATTGATGATTTTTGCAAGACAAAAAAACCTAAATCCTTAAAATCTTAAATTCGTCATTAAATTTGAATGTAAAATTTAAATGTCATGTTTATTAATATTGTTAAGTGTTTAGGAAAAATAGATCTCTTACACACTACTAACAGGAGTGAAATATAAATATGTATAGCCCTTTTGGAAGGCAATTTTGCGTTAGATACAGAATTCAACGAATTTACAAATCCTTTACTTATCAACTCAATTGTTTAGAATTTACCCTGGGGATATATTCGCATCTATTATTTATTGCAATATTGTTGTAATAATAAAAATAACATCAAACAAAGGGAGGGAGGGAGAGAAGGAAGGAAGGAAGGACAGACCTAGTTGCCCATAATAAGAGAATAATTGTTTAAAAAACTTATTGTTACTTTTATATAATAGATGCAACTGTTGAAAATAACTTTTGATCTGAATATTCTAATGAAAAGAGCTTGAAATCCATTGTAATATAAGTAATTATTACTATTATTAGTTTTTTCAAATATACACACAAACTATCAATAGTTGTTGTCTCTGGGAAATAGGACTTGAGATTTAGACTAGGAAGAACATTTAATTTTTATTGTATACCTTTGTACTATTTAAGTGTTTGTTTACCATGTCATTATATTACCTCTTAAAAACTATTACTAAAAGATAATTTGATCTCTAATACATCATTAAATTAGGTAAGTGGAAAAAATAAAGTAACACCAAAGAAAGAATATTGGGGTAATTTTAAAAGTTAAAACATTTAATAAGGTGGTTTCTATTCATCATTTGATTATTGAATTGTGTTCAAATATTTGCTATTCTCAACTTTGTGTGCCTTCATCAGTACCTACTCAGAAGAAAGAAAAAAGCAGCTTGTAAGTTGCTCAGGAAAGGAGTAGCTCTACAAGTGTACATACTAATATCCCTGGGAATATTTGAGGGGATGAAAAGAGTTTCAAAGCAGCTAGTGGGATATTAGGGCTCTCTATGAGAACAACTAGGAATGACAAATAAAATGCAAAAATCATGTCCAAGGGCAGGAGAAAGCTACAGAGGTGACTCATCTACTTCAGTCCATAACCCTATTACACAAACTTTCAATATTTTTTTGCTCATAAAATGTAGAAAGATTAGGCTAGAAACATCACTATCATTTTCCAGATTGTTTTGACTAAGTTTTATTTTCTCAGCATGCCAAAATTTGAATTACATATACTTTGAAACAATAATTGTACATTAACATGTTTTGTTTTGCTTATAACTCTCTTTTCCCTTATGAATCTTAGTTCCATTACTTGGATCTTTGGGCAGCATAAGCATAACAACATTAAAAGCTGATGGACAAAGTGCAAGCTTTGTACTCATGTGCTGCCAACTTAAAGTCAAAAGAGTGCAATAAGATGTCAGACCAAAGAAAAGCATAGAAATGGAACACAAAGGAATTAAGGTGGAGGAAGGAGTCCATTGATGAGACTGAAAGTAGAGAAGTCCTGAGATTTTATTAGGAGCAGATACTAATAACCCTCCATGAATAATGAGGGGAGATAGGAGATTACTTGAAAGTTACCCTTAATATCAAATCTATATAAAGCACACTAGGGAGAAAATAGTTAAAAAAATCTAGATTTATATTAAATGTCTTTGCTGTGATTACGTAATATCTTGTGTTAATAGTTTTACCTTTCTTCACATTTAAATGTGAATGAAAAAATAAAAATAATAATAGTAATAAGTAGGTATATTCCAGTGGATTTTAAGCTCTTTTATATTAAATCCTATGATCATGAACCCATAAACTGTTGGATCTTTATAAGCAAAATATCATCAATGGTAAAACTTTGAATAAATCACTTGTCTCTCATCCACAGTTGCCTTATCTAAAATCAAGTGTTTGCCCTGAAGATTTTCTAAGGTTCCATCCAATCTGAGTACTTCGTGAGTCTATGTCTATCTCACAGCACCTGCTTTGCAGAGAGCTATGCACAATACTAAATATGTTGCATTGGTTTGCTAGATAAACATAACAAACCATTTCTTTTAAATTTTTGTTCTGAAAATTTGTACATACATAAAATTAGGAAAAATGGTATAATGAACTCTATTATCCATCAACCAGTTTCAAAATTATCAATATATCGACAATCTTGTGTTGCCTATACCTCTCAATATCTACCTGTTTATAGCTATTTGTGTTTATTTTTAGGTTTATTGAGGAATAATTTGCATAACATCAAATTAACTCATTTCATTTATTATTTTAGTGAATTTATAAAGTTGTGCAACCATTACAACAATCCAGTTTAAAAACATCTGTTACCCCAAAAGTTCCTTTGTACATAAGCACAATCAAACCTCAGACCTAGAAAAACATGGATCTGCTTTCTATCTGTATAGATTTGCCTTTTCTGGATAATGTATTCAAAGGGAATAATAAAATATATAGTCTTTTCTATATCCCAGTTAATTTTAGCCTAATACCTTTCACCTAACTCTTTTATAGCACATCTTTAAAAATGGTATAGTACACCATGACCTTGGCCCTAACCAAGATATAAGGCAGGGCAATTAGGCGAAATAACATGTTAAATCAGCACTTTCCTGTAAAATAGGGTTTTGATGCAAGAAAAAGGAAAATAACACAGTGGAGAAAATGTAACTGGTAACAGAGCAGAGCAAAGCTCAGAGTTCATATTCCCAGGATGATGGTAGACAATAAGGATAAGAAGAGAAATGTGACCAGATCTTCTTAGGTTTTTTCTCTCTATATAGGCTAGACCTGGGTCTGGGCTCATGTGCATCAGAAGACTAGTTCTGAATGAACCGAGTGAGACTTAAAGGCAAAGGATAAAATGGTAATTAAGCATGTGGCAAGAACCAAGCCAAAAATTTGAACTCTTGCTGTGGATGAGAGAGGGAACAGCTACCTGCTCATATGAGCAGTGCCTGTGCCATATGACAGCAATCTTGACTAGTTCAGAGCGTCATTTACTCAGGAGCATTAGAATTGTTAGTATTTCAGACCTCTCCTTTTTCATTGGCTTTAGGACAGAGGCCATTGTAAGATGAGCAACTGAGTCTGGGTGGAAATAGGATAGGAATAAGCACTAACTGATTAGTAGCTGAAAAATAGAATGAAGATGAGGGAGGGTACGGAGATCATCGAAGGCAATATTTAAAGATGTTTTTCTATGTGTTCTTACAGGTATTTAGAAATGAAGGTATTCACGAATGAAGAGATTCTACAGTGTGGCAGGAAGTGGACAACATACTAACATAGCATATATATGGATATTGAATATATATGGTGTATTTATATGGCTTAAAATATTTATAAATAATTTAAAAAACACATTATTTTAATATCCTTTAGTAGATATAGTTAATTGAATATAGAGATGTTTCCACCTTCTTCCTTTATTTAGAATCACCAGAAAGGTTTAAAACTCCAAGTCACCTCTGAATTAGTGACAGTCACTGATACCTAGTAAGATGGCTCAAAGTTGGGCCACCTTAACGTTTTCTTTCTAATAAATTTTACTGCCTACAGGATCTTGACAGGATGCCACAGAAAGTGAAGAAGCAAACATGTTGGGCTCTGGGGGTCTATCTGGACAACATTGAAAGGGAAATGTCACCAGTTTTACACAGTTCCCTTTTACTGTTGAAGACATGTGCTCCTTAGGGAATTCAAGAAACACTGCATTTATAGTGCAGTAGTGATACTGCCAGTGGCACTTTCTTGACTACCTCTTTAAATGAACAGAATTATGAGTATGAATCATGACATACTGAAGGATGCCAAAATATCCAGTCACTTCATCGAAAAATATCGTCATATTTAGTACTCAATCCATATAGACTACTTTTCCTGATGATTAACTGAACTGGCCTGATAGATATAACCTAAAATAAGATGGGAGGAGGAAGGAAAGAGGGATTAATTTAAGGTTATTATAATTGCCATCTCAATGAATAAATCCATTATGATATTTGCATTAGGTTTATCCAAAATCACTTTGCACCTTACCTTCCCCATAGCAACATTTGAATCTGTAAAGGATACTCATCAAATAACCAAAGGAATTAGCATATAATTATTATAGATTCAGTAGTGAAAAGAGATTAATTAAATAGTTTTCAGAGTAAATACAGAAGCCACAGCTGCAATATTATTATTATCATTTATTTTTTGATGCAATGTTATGGTATTACAAGAGAAACAACAGTTTTCTTTTCTATGAAAGCAGTTAAATAAGAAAACATTCTTGCTAAACTTTCCTACACAAACACAAAGGTGAGACTATTTTCAGTCTTTCTAAAAATGCTGATTAATTTATGCTCTGGAATTTTTTTTGAGTCTATTTATGGAACATATTATTAGTTTTTACTTAAGCATTGAAGTATACCAACAATTGCCAAATGATCATTTCTGGAATGTTCAGGCTTGTTATGTTTAGCAGATGGTAGTTGGAATCAATCATTGCCTAAATCATGAAATGCAAAATGATAATTTAGATAAACTTTCTACTAAGTACTTTTAAATAGACTAGTTCATCTGAGTCTCATAAGAACCTAAGAATTAGATAGGCTGAAAAATTGTATTTCTTTTTTGTGGGTGAACATAATTAGGCACAGGGAAGTTAAATCTTTATGCAGCAATTCTCAGCCAGATAGAAACTGAAAATGCTATTTTCCCAGACTAACTCATTCTCTAATGTGCTCTCTTTTATGCTATGTTGTTTCCAAGATTTAAAATCTATGGTTGAGATTTTTTTATTAGAAAAATGTTTAATTTTGTGTTTTTATATTTATTTAGATATCAATTTAAACTTTTATGTCCTGAAATTCATTATTTTATTAAAAAATTATTGAGTCCTGTAATTATGCGACATGAATTACGTCTCAGGAACTACACAAGGTAATAGGGGTGAAGGGATGCATAAAATATGATTTTCTCTTCACCAAAATCTAGGGTTGTAACCAGACATGTAGACGAAGGTTACAGTGGATGATTTGCAGATCGCAATTGCAAAGTGTGAAGTGCCTTGTAAATCATGTTAAGAATTTTAAGTTTTATCCTTTAAGCAGCTTTGAGCCACTAGAAATCTAATTAAGGGGGAAAACAACAAATCAGGACTCAATTCAAAATACAAACTTCTAGCTTTGTAGAGAATGGATTGAAAAAGGCAGCAACTGGTGCCAAGGAGACAAGAGGAGCCTACTAAGAAAATCAATTGCAGTAGAACAGTAGAACCGCACCTGAACTAAGGCAGTGGTGGTGGGTGGAGAGAAGGAGGACTATACTGGGAAATATTCCTGAGCTATAATTTTAGAGGTAGGCTTTGGTGATTTGTTTGATGTGTGTGTGTCGGGGGCAGTTTGCCTAGAAATGTTCTACCTTTTAACAAGCCTGTTGACATAATTTCTCTAGTCCTTTGCATGTTTTCTATGAAGTTTTAAAGGATAGGCTGAGAGCAGCTTATTTTGTTCAGTGCTTTTTTTGCTGTTTATCATCACATTTATATTGATGTTTGCCCACTTCCAAAGGACTCATCTGTGCCAATTGTATAAAAAGTGGTTTTTAACATTAAGAAAAGCAGAACTTGGTGTAAAAAGTGAAAAAAAATATTTTTCTATCTTTAATTAGATCTTGGCACCTTTTAGAGATAGGTTTTGGTTATTTCTTTCTGTATGTCTCCTACTAATATATTTCATAATTTATTACTACTGTGGCACAGTCACAAACCCTTCCCACTTTCTAGATGTTAATGTCTATGAAATTATTTATGCCAGCACAGAATAAACCTTATGTCTGTAGTAGCCACCCACTTTTACTATTGACAGTAATGCTTTCCACCATGATAATGCTAAAGGTAAATTATCAAGTTGTCATGATCTTGAACCATTTAACCTAGCAGAATGATTTGTCCTCTACAAATGCAAAGCATGTATTACTCATCAAATGTTCTCCTGATGAAAGTATGGAATACCCATGGGTCTTAAAAATTCTAGAAACAGTAAATAATATGAGAAAGAATATAATTTTTTTGCCAGTTTCTTTCAAGCATCTAATAACCAAGTTCAATTGTGGTTTACTTATTGCCAGAGCTGAAAAAATTGTGAGGAGAAAAAGCCGTTATCTTATTTTCAAAAGTTGTTTACCTTTGTTTCCTAAGTATTCATATAGATTAGCTTGTGTTCAATGGCAAAATTTAATTGACACTAATGGATTGCATAACTCTCTCCATGTAGGTTCAGTAAGAATATATTAGCATACATATGTGCCATCCATTATGGAACACTATCTACTATCTTTAGACATGCCTAATGATTAAAAAATCAGCCAATATTGAAATATAGCTTCCTGGTTCTATGGATTTAATGAATACAAGGCACTCAATAGGAACTGAAGAATGGCAGATAAAAAGCTCATGACTCCTAAACAGAAATTAAACTTGCTTTTCACAGCTGTACAAGTAAGAAACAGATGTAGGCTGCAAGTACCAGAGCAAATTTTAATTTTCAACTTAAAATGGCAAAACAAAGGACCATGGAAGGACCCCCTTGAAATATATTTGAAGGACATGTATTAGGCAATTGAAAGAAATACATGCCAGATAATTTTGCCTAAGCAGACAGGGTTACGGATACTTTTGACTAAAATGTCATTGCCCTACTCTAATTTGATTGTGCACATAGTAACAAAATCCTGATATTTCAAACATATTGTTGGTTGTATGTGTATATTTTATGCTTAAGTGCAGAAACATCTGGCTGTTCTGGTAGCTTGGTGATTTGAGATAGGTACACATGGGAGAATTATGGTATTGTTCATCAGTTTCAAGTTTTCCCAAACATGTGGGACCCCCGTTTGTAGAATTTAGCAATGGCCACAGTCAGCTGCTGAAATATGATGTTAAGAATACTGTGATATAAAAAAGGTACATGGAAACAAAACATATTTTATATGGCATATAAATAATTTTTATCTAAAAATGACATATTTTAAAGTCATTGCCTTTAAATTTTAGGATTACAAATATCTTGGGATTCTAATATAAGGTATAGACCATCTTCTCTGGAAAATTCAAGAACAGATGACATTTTTTAATTGATTGCAGTTGGTTCATGTTTAAGAATCTTTGACATATTCAAGACTGTATTCTTTCTAGGGGCTTTTAATTTTGAAATCATCAGATATATAACCAATGTTTGATGTCACTGTGAGAAAGTGCCCGAATCAGTGTATTGTTTGGAAAGAAAGAGAGCTAATACAAGCAAATAGATACACACACATTACCAACATTGAAGATATGTGCCAAGAAAGAGAAGCCCACAAAAGAACATTTAGCAAAAAAGCAGAAACAACAAAGAAAATGAAAAACAAAAAAGTTAACTAGAAGGTTGTATTTTGGAAAACTACAGAAAGGAAGCAGATGTGTTTTTTGAAAAGAGTGTGGTTGGTATGTAAAATAAAACTGAGAGTTCATGTCAGATACCATTTGGAAATATGCTTTGATGAAGCAATTAAGAATCTTGGTGATCAAGAGGAGCAGATATATTACAATTTTGGACATAGACAGCTAAATTATCTTCTTGAAATGAGAAAATTATTGTGACTTTTTTTTTTTTTTGAGACAGAGTCTCGCTCTGTTGCCCAGGCTGGAGTGCAGTGGCACAATCTCAGCTTGCTGCAACCTCCGCCTCCCGGGTTCAAGCGATTCTTCTGCCTCAGCCTCTCGAGTAGCTGGGACTACAGGTGTGCCCCACCACGTCCGCCTAATTTTTGTATTTTTAGTAGAGACGAGGTGTCACCATATTGGCCAGGCTGGTCTCAAACTCCTGATCTCATGACCTACCCACCTTGGCCTCCTAAATTGATGAGATTACAGGAGTGAGCCATGGCACCTGGCCAACAGTATATTCTTATCCCTTCTTCCTACTGATTATTATTTAAAAATAAGCAATTATTTTTGCCCTAAACAATTGTGTTTATAGGGATCAATCTATTTATTTACATATTTACCGTTTCCAGTATTCTGTTTTCTTTTATATACATCTGAAATTGTATCTGGTATTATATTTCTTCAGCCAGAAGAACTTCTTTTAATATTGCCTGAAGTGCAAGTCTGCTGGTGACAAATTATTTTAGTTCTTCATTGTTTAAAGTGCCTTCATTTCACCTGATTTTAGACATATATTTTTCCTGATATAAAATTTCAGGACTCCTTTTAGTGCCCCTGGTATTTTAATCGCTTAAAAAAAGTGTCTTCTGGCTTGCATTGTTTCTGATGAAGAGCAGTCAGCCTCACTGCTATTAGCCTACAGGCAATGTGGCTTTTTTTTTTTCCTGTCTCAGTGTAAGACTTTTTCTTTATGGTTCAGCAATTTGATGATGATGTGCCTTGGTGTGTTTTCTTTGGTTTATTCTGTATGGAATTCCTTGGACTTCCAGTCTGATATTAATATTGCACCCCCAGATTTCTTTTGAAATTAGCATGCTATATCTTCTTCCGTATTTTTAGTTTTAGCCTATTTATGTATTTATATTTAAATGTGTTTCTTTTTCACAGCACAGAATTAGGCATTTGGGGTTTTTGTTGTTGTCCATTTTTATTTTGTAATTTAAACTGAAAATTTCTGCCATTTATTTAGGGTATTTTGACAATTAATATTTAATGTCATTTTTATGTTTGGGTTTAAACCTACCATCTTTATGTTTCCTTAATTATTTGTTTCATTCATTCTTTGCTGCTTTTTCCCTTTCTTTGCCTCCTTTTGCATTGAATATTTTTTATTATATTTTACTGGTTTATTAGTTATGACTGTGTGGAGAGCCATGGACAAGCCCCACACAGTGTAATCAGAGTTTTCCTCAGTAAATTCAGAAGACTGTCCACTTTTCTGGCCAGGCAGGACAGAAGCAAATAGCAGGGTGGTAGAGGTGGGGATGAAGCTAGCAATAGGAACAGGTCCCACTGGAGGCAGATGGTCTGACTTGTTCATCATCAGCAGAATATGCTAGCTACTCTCACTGGGGACTTCAAGTGTTTGCAGTGTCCACGATTATGAACATGATATTGCAGCTGAATGGAGAGGCCAGGTCAGAAATATTAGCATGGACCCAAATACAGTCAGCCTCTCCATGCTCTCCCAGGAGCACCTTAGGAGCAGCATCTGACTTAAACTTCATGGGCCAGTCTTCTTTAATCTGAGAAGAAGATTCAATTTCACTTTTTCTTTTTAACATGGTTATGCAATTGTCCCAATAGCAATTATTGAAACATCTACCTTTTCCCATCTTTGTTAGAGGTTTGGGTCCATTTATGTGCTCTCGATTATGTTCCATTAAATTCTTTTCCTAATTCTGTACCAATACTAAATTCACTTAAGTTTATAATGTTAATATAAATTTTGATATCCCTTAAGGCAAATCCTTCAAACTTGCTTTTTTCCATTAAGAATTTCATATGTATTTTTGGATGTCTTCCATTCCACTTCCCCTTTTCCCAATCAAAATACTGTATGATTCTGATTGGATTACATTGAATATTTTAGTGAATTTGTGTTGTTTTTCTATTTTTGAAATATTATCTTTCAATCCATGAGAATGACATGTTTATGTATTTATATCTTTAATAATGTCCTTTATTAAAGTTTTATGATTTTTGCTACAAAAATTCTGTAGCTCTTTTGATATATTATTACTAAATACTAAATATTCTTGATACCATTGTAAATGGTAACATTTAAAAGTTCACTGATTACTTGATACAATTATACATAACAGTGATTGCTTATATATATTGATTTTGTATCCAACAACTTTCCATGTTCTCTAATTCTGATAATTTGTGTGTATATGATTTTATACTTCCTCCCTAAATTACCTATATAATTGTATATGAATGCATACATACATGCATATACGCACACATACAGAAAATTGACTCTAAACTTTAGGTTTAATGGTAAAATTTTTATGCATTTAACTTGAAGAATAAGAAGACAACATAAATGTCTTTCATATCATGACTTAGATTCAACAGTGTCCTGGATGTCTTAGCCTAGCTACATCAAGGAAAGGAAAAAAACACAATATATATGATTTAGAAAATATTGTGTCATTTAATTTTTTTATTCCCTGAAATACTTTAGGAAAGTCAGTTGAGACTGTTTTCTCAATCTGATTTTCAGCAGCATTTAAGTCAAGATGTGTAATGAAAGAGACAAATTGTTTCAGGTTCAGTGACTTGAATAGTAGATTATAAATAGGGAGAAAATATCAGTATGTTACAATACTTTCAATAGTTTTTTTGCATGTGTGTTTACCTTAAGTATGAATATACAATCACAAATCTAAAATTTGTTACATCTCGTCTAAGGCCATTGTGGTATTTTATTCATTATTTGACGGTAGTTTGCCCTTAGAACCTCACAGGTTGAGAGTTTAAAGTACTGAGTTGACAGTTCCTATATTGCTTTGTTATTTTCCTATAAAACTGGCTGGAACAAAATGAAACTGCTCTTCTCTCAATATGTTCAGTTCAACTGTCAGTGGGAAAGTACAAGAAGATTTGAAAGGTTTTCACCCTGTAATAGAAAACAGGAGTCAAGAGAGGTAAGTTAGCCTGAATATATGTTTTGACGCACTGAATTCTTTGAATAAATAATAAATCACGTAATTATTTTTAGTCTTAACGTGACAGATACTGGGCTATGCTTAGTGGATACATAGAGGTCATTAAGATCTTACAACCTAATGGAGGAAACTGGAATTTAAATAAATTAACCACCCTAAACTAAGAGAGATTTTTGTTGCAATGCTTTAGTAGCTAAATTAACCTTGTGGAGGAAGGTTTGTAGTGTATGTCCAATAACTTACCCATAGAAGGTATCTAATGTTTGAGAATATTTAATAAATAAAATTAAAATTTGCAGAATAATGAAACCATTCACAACCTATTCTTTTCTTCTGCAGAATCACTTTGTTCTGCACAATCATATCCTTCCCTGTGTGGATATAGTTTTTACTTCATTTTACCTGATATTTCAATGTGCAGAGTGTCCCTCACATTAAGAAATGCTGCAATAAACATCTTTGTTTATGTATTTTCATATTCAGAAATATTTTCTAGGAGTGAAATAGCCACATCATAACCTATGTGCTTTTTAAATTTTGATAGGGTAACTTACGATTCATAGTTTACTCTCTTCCATTTTGAAAAGGAAGCAGCCTCTAGAGCTGAGCAAAGGCTCTTTCTGAGTCTTTCCTTTCTACAGAATGCTTCTTAGGTTTTCTGCTTCTTTTTCCCTTCTTTAGTCTCATCTCTGCTCTTTGCAATCACCATCTTATATCTTTGGTTCCTTGGTTATTGTTTGCCACTCTAATTCTAGTTCCTCAAAGAACTTTCATCACATTCTCCTATAGCAGTGAATATATGAGATGAGATTAATATTTTGCATGTTGAATCATCTCTTCATTCTTCCTATGAGTATCCTATCAGAGCATGAAAATAAGTGAATTATCTTTACCAAAGGTTATGTGCCACTTTAGTTTTTCAACTTGAATTGCAACATAGGAAGGAAATGGGTAATTTGATGTTCTTAGATTTGTCCCTAAGTTTTAGTTTAAATAGTCTCCCAGTCCAAAATTTTACCCACCATTCAATTTTAAAAATAATCACTTATAACTATCAGAAGATATCAATTTTATCAGATATGTCTGGTTTTTTTCCTTGCCTTTTGCATGTGCATTATCCCATCTGAGGAATTATTTTTGAGGTTGCACCGCCTGGAGCTTTGTGACTGGATGTGCTGTTGGCATTCAGTGCCTGCCATTCTCAGGAGCCACAAGGGAGATGGATCAGGTCACATGACATTGACGATATGGTTCTTCCTTTCTAGATTCTCTTTTTGACACCTAATCCATGCAGAATATGAAAATAGGCTGGCAAATTGTAAATTATCAGCTTGGAATCAGTGTGATGTATGATGAGACAGGCAAGTAAAACAAATTAGAAAGGCTGCCTTAAAAATAATTGCAATAGTCAAGGTATCAGATGATAAGGAAATTAATTAAGGATGTGACAGTAGGTCTGTGGGGGTAAGGATGGGTATAAGAAGTATAAGTAAAGATTAATTGCAAGGATTTAGAGACAAATTACATAAATGAGGTAGAAGGAAAATTATAAGTAAATATCTTTGCATTTTTTATTATGTAGCTCAAGGAGCTATTTTATTGTCATCTTACCCCCATTTTATTCAGAATCAAGTGTTTCTTAAAGGAATGTTTTAAACTTTATTCTTTGGAAATTAATATTTTCTAAAGGTCATCAGTGACCTTTGCTTTTCAGGCTACTAATAACTTAAATAGAAAGGATTTGATATTAAATAAGTGGATGATGTGCGTGAACTGAGTATTCTCCACTCCGATTACAGCTCATGATGCTCTGGGCTGTCAATGTACCGTGCTGACAATCTGGTCCTTGCCACAGGCCACAAGACCAGCCAAGACCAAAGCCAGAGCTTATGCTATTTCCTCCAGCCAACAAAGGAACATCCTGAGGCTTCAGTAACCCTAGTCCGAAGGCTAGTTATCAGTGTTCTTGGGGTTCAAAGTAAGTAAATGAAACAGAGCTGGAAGTAGAGCTCAAGAAAATGCAAGAAGCCTGAGAGAACAAATAGTTGGAAGCCAAGTAATGGGAAGACATATCTGAAGGCAGAGATCAATCTGTTGTTTTAACATCACTCAATGAAAGGTATAATTCATAAAATCAGATGTTTCCATAAGTTGTCAGATAGATGGAATCTTCCAGATCTCTGTATATATGCAGAAGTACGTGTTAAATAAAGAAATAAAGAAAGCAATCAAGGCAAGGACTGACTAGATATAGAAAAAAGATAATTTTCTGTCTTCATGCTTGTCTGCAGTTCTTTGGAATTATCCTAATGTGGGCTTAGAAGGGAGCTACCAACTTGGAAGACACATAGGCGATGTGGCTTCCAAGAGTCCCCTGGTCAGAGTAAGCCATGATAGCATGGGTCACACCTCCAAGATGTCTTAAGCAAATACCAAACAGAACAGAGGATTCAAGCTTGTGATGAGGAGAAACTCAAGTCCTGCAGAGGAAGGGAACTCCTTGGTACCTCATAAAGAAATATTGGGAGAGTAAGGGATAGTCAGCACACGAACAGAACAGTGTCTGGTGTACTTGGCATACACAAAATCTCAATAGCCAGTTTTGAAGCACCAAAGATCTTCAAGTGCAGTAGATGTGGGTATTTGGACTTCAAAGTTTGTACTGAGCTGACCTGAGTGTCTAGGGCTGGTCAAGCTGCACAGCTGCCAGTGGGCATGTACATCTGTGTAGCCACAGAGATCTGAAAGGCATGTCAGTTTCATTCTTCATAGAAAGCCAGTCTTGGGAAATGTGTGCTGCTTCCAGTTTAAGCAGTGATATCATGTTGTGAGAAAGAAATATTCAAGCCCATTTGTTGATATGTAAAAACAATTTTGTGTAAAACCTTAAGCGTACATATTGAATCTTAGCTATTTCTTTGCTTTTCTGAGCTTTTTTGGGAATTAGATTTTGGTAAGCTTGGATCTCCCAATATCTAATTAAAATATAATTGTGGAAACATGCAGTTTTAGGTGAAACTTTTAAATTATCTTTTGAAAAATTTGGTCGAATACTTTGTTTCTGCAGTACTAATGTGAAGAATCAATCCTAGTATAGAGTTTATCCAACCTATGGAAATAAGAGAAAATCTTGAAAACAGATTGTTTAAGGGGAACATCACACCCCGGGGACTGTTGTGGGGTGGGGGAAGGGGGGAGGGATAGCATTAGGAGATATACCTAATGCTAAATGACGAGTTAATGGGTGCAGCACACCAACATGGCACATGTATACATATGTAACAAACCTGCACGTTGTGTATATGTACCCTAAAAGTTAAAGTATAATAATAATAAACTAAACTAAAATAAAAAAGAAAATGTGTCCTGTTTATTCTTTTAATTTGTCATTATAAATTGGCTATTTCTCAATCATATTTGAAATCACTTGCAATAAACTAAAATAAGCTCTAAATAATGTTTTGGAGAGGTAGTTAAATATATGTCAGGGCTGCTTTCTGGAAACCAAGTGGGGGAAGGATGCCCCAAAGGATGGCACATTGGCATGCTGAGTCCTTTGAACTAAAGGCAATTGGGAGGCCCTCAGAAGCAAGGTCTCTTTAATCTTCTCCTATGCTCTTTTCTCCAGCTCCCATTTCTCCTCGGCTCCCATTTCTCCCCTAAGTCATGTAATAGAAACCAGGATTCTCTCCCCTGAAGCAGATCATAGCAACTAGAACTCCTCTCCCCCATAGCAAGCCATAAAATCTAGAAAGGTCCCTTTCTGACCTACCTTCCCTGAACGTCAGTCATAAGACCCTCTTTCCAGAGGGGTTCTGCCTCATACCCAGGGGGAAGAAATGCTACACAGACAGGCCAAGGAGGATCTGAACAAACAGGCTTTGCCAAGATCCCTTCAGTATATTACCATTAGCTGACACCCTTTTGTCCAATCATGTTTCTTCACAACTATCCACTTTTTTCGTTTACACTTGGCATAAAAATACATAATTTTCCTTGGGTCTTTGGCTTCACTTCTTTGGATCAGGTAAAGCTTTGATTAAATGAATTTGTTGTGTTTTTCTCTGTTAACCTGTCTTTGTTTGGAAATATTGGTCATGACTCTTGTGATAGGTGGAATTACTGTAGCATATAAGTTAAAAAGCCTGATGCAATTGATCACAAAATGGATGTAAACTTTCTGGAACCCAAGGGGAGAAAAAAAATGTAATGCATTGTAGACTACAGACATTTCTTAGTAGGTATTAAAACTGATGTAGTTAATCTAATGTTTAAAAAATTAGATTACAATAAAAAGTATGAGCTTTAAAAATTTTCTATATACATATATACGCAGAAATATAGTTTGTGAATATGGAGTCATGAAGTAAAACATATGCCTGTGAACCTTAGCCATAAAAAATGAGTATCACAGATTTAAAATACCAGCTAATGAATTTCCCTTATACTGCCTTCTCCACCAGACCAAAAGATTTAATTGGGCTGATTAGTTGTGATTTGGTACAACTAATAGATATTTTCTTACTGGTTTATAAATCTAATGAACAAAAAGACTTTAGGATTTTGAGACTTTGGGGCTCATAAGCTGAAGTGAAGTTTTATTTTTTTATTCCCTCAAATTTTGGGTGTTGCAGAGAGGCTGTATAAACCTTTTAAAAAATACTGCTTTAATATTGATTTTTAAATTTCAGATTTGTATGTGTACCTATACACATGGAGACAGAGAGAGAGAGAAATGTATATATATGATTGAAATGTCAACCCTGATAAAATTTATAAATCTGTGATTTAGACTTTGAAAGTAGTACAATAGATCATTTTAATCACAAGAAAATTAGAAGCATAGATTTATTTAGATTAAATTTCGGTTGTCAATACAGTTACATTCACTTTTTTTCTCCCTGAAAATTTCAAAGCCATCATGTATATTAGCCAACATTTTTGCTATTAATAACACACCTTTTTAAAAGTAGTTTTCCTATAACAGTGGTATTTTCTTTTAATAAATATAAGCATTGGCATAATTCTTAGATTCCTGATATACTTTATTATACTACAAGACAAATGTACTTATTTTATGGTTGAGTGAGCCCATTAATTAAAATTGTCTTATGAATCCCCTAAACTTCTGTCTGAAGAAAACAGAGCATGTCATTCCGAGCAAAGAAAACTGGCTTTGAAATATGTATTGCTGTCTGGTTTATTCAATAGGGCAAAATGATTTTTCTCTCACCTATGACCTCACTTTACACAGTTTAAATTAGAAAAAGAAGTCAATATTTGAATTCTAGCCTGGACTTTTTCCTCCAGCAGTCTCTTTATGATAGTAATTAACTTTGATTGTTGGGATGAGGTGTTTACTGGCCAAAATTACTTTAATGAAATAAATTACAACTCTTGGAGATCTTGGCAAAGCTATTAACCAAACAGAAACAAAGAATTTGGACACTTACAGAAAATTAAGAACTGTGATTTAATATGTAAATCTTGTTCTGAGAAATACACTCAGTGTTATTTAGAACCCAAAATATTTCATTTTCCTATCCATAAGCAGAGATTAAATAAACCAGTGAAAGTAATTCTGAGGTTTCCCATGAAGGAGAGAAAATTCCTATTGTGTAATGTTCTAAGATTGGGACAAGTTAAATGTTACATAATCTTATTGCCTGAAGGTACTTTAGAAGTGTTAGGAACAATGTTTCCTCAACTCTGGCTATCATACAGGGGAAAGAAAAAATGTAGATGTTTGGGTCTCACATACAGAAAGTCAACGTTATTAGACTGGACTAGGCGTGTGCATTGGTACTTTTGTTTATAAAGCTCCCCAGGTGATGTTAATGAGCGGCTTGGAATCATATAGGGGAAAGAAAAAATGCAGATGTCTGTGCCTTGTATACAGAAAGTCATTGTTATTGGTCGAGACTAGCGCTGAACATTGGTAGTTTTGTTTATAAAGCTCTCCAGGTGATGTTAATGAGCAGCTTGGATGGGGAAAGGCAGAGATTCTCAAACCTGTCAACAGACTGGTGCCTGTGAAAGATCAAGTTTCGACACTATACCACATGTTGAGAAAAATAAGGATAATGGAGTGGATTTTTCAATAAAACACATTTTATTCATATTGTGGGTGTCACATTATTCTTTCTTTCAGAAGATATTGATAATAATAAATAACATTTATTTGTTAATGCTGCTTTGTTTGCCCGTTTTCTTGTTTATTTCTTTGTTATATAAAATAAAAATATTTATAAATGTTACATAATCTTTCCAACTGTTGTTTCTCTTTTTGAAGAACAAGTTTGTGAATTCCACAATGCTTTGTGTTTTAGTTTGTTTTCTGTTGCAATAAAAGTATACCATAGACTGGGTAATTTATAAAGAATAGAGGTTTACTTAGCTCACAATTCTGGAGGCTGAGAAGTCCAAGAACATGGTGACAGCATCTGGTGAGGGTCTTCCTGCTGTGTCATGACATGGCAGGAAGCACCACGTGGCAAGGCAGAGTAAGTGTGCTAGCTCAGGTCTCTCTTCCTGTTCTTAAAAGCTACAATCCCATTATAGCAGTCTCATCCTGATGACATATTTAATCCTAATTACCTCCCAAAGGCCCCACCTCTTGTTACCATTAACATATAAATTTGGCATTATGTTTCCAACACATGAAATTTGGGGGCTATGTTCAAACTACACCACTTGAAATCATTGCTCTTACTGAAATCCTTAATTTTACTGATGATTAAACTGATGCCCAGAGACGTTAAATGCCCCATTAGGGTAATATGTCCAGTTAGGCCCACAGTCAAACCAAGCTTCTCTAAATCCTTCATCAGCCTTTCAGGATGGCCTTTAATGGGGATCACTTAATTCTTTCTAAGGCTTAAAGCCAATATTGTGTTTCAAACACTCTTTCTCATCTTAGAGTTAAGCACAGAAGCCAAATAGGCAATCCACAAATAACTTTTTCAGTTATTTAAATAAAAACTCTGTTAAATTTTGACACAAAAGCAGTTTTTCTGATTTTTGTTTTTAAACTAAAATAACCACTTGATTAAGATTTAAAAAGGAAGGGCATTCCGAAGTCCACTAATGAGACCACTAATGTCTCATCATAATGTGGACTTTCCAGATAAAATCAGAGCTCCTTAGCATTATACTCAAGATATTTCTCTCCCTTGTCTGTTGCCTCCACATATCTGTCCTCCAAGACACTCCACTAATGGCAGCTTTACATTTTCAGAGTTTCTTTCATTCAGTTCTTCTGTCTAAAATACCTTTTCACTTTCTTTATACATCTCACCTCTCACCTTTTGTGTAAATTTTATTGATCAGAGACATTTCTGATTAACCTTGTGACAAAGTATTTCTGACTAATTAACTTAAGCTCCAATATGCTTTTATAGATATTCCTATCCTAACATTCAATACAATGTATTGTAACTCACCTGTTTCCCAGGTGAACTCATAACATTTGAGGTTAGCATTGACTGTATCCTTAGCATCTAGCCAATGTGTTGTGTATTTTCTTGTATTTTTTATTTAGTAAGTATTCCTAATAAGAGCAGTGAGAAGCTCTTTATACCTTAGTCTTGGCTCAATATAGAAATGAAGCTATCCAAACTGTACCTACTTCAGACACATATTCTTTCCATCCTAAGAGGTCTCATTTTCTGGAAACATCCCCTCTTCCCTTCACTTTAACTGTCTAAATCCAACCCACTTACGAACTTTTACTACTTCTGTGAAATTCTCTCCAGTACAGGATATTTTTTATTTTTTATTTTTTTGCAATGGAATCTCACTCTGTCTTCCAGTCTGGAGAGCAGTGGTGTGAACTCGGCTCACTGCAACCTCCACCTCCCGGGTTCAAGCAATTTTCCTGCCTCAGCCTCCCTAGTAGCTGGGATTACAGGTGTGTGCCACCATGTCTGGCCAATTTTTGTATTTTTAGTAGAGACGGGGTTTCACCATGTTGGCCAGGCTGGTCTTGAACTCCTGACCTCAAGTGATCCACCTGCCTTGGCCTCCCAAAGTGCTGGGATTACAGGCATGAGCCACAGCACCCAACCCTCAGGCTATCTCTTTCAATCACTCCTTTCTTTCAACTCCAGCAACACTAATGTCTCCTTGATTCATTGGCTATGTAACATATAATGCTTCTTTAACCATTAACTATTTGGTGAGTGTATTTGTTGGTATTACTGTGTCCAATATTTCTTGAATTTTGTCCCCTAGTGAGAATCTGGTGAAAGCTCTGAAATTTTTCCCCAGAAAAATAATGTACTTAGGCATGTAGAAAAGATGTGTGAATTCCTAGTGCCCCTCCATGGACCTTCCAGGGGTCAAGGCTGAGAAAAAGCTGAGCTACGATAAAAGATTCTTGAGGAATATAGAATTTATTACTAGCCGAGTCCCTACAGAGCCTCATAAAGACACTTGCTGTATATTTGTGGAATTATTAAATGGATTCTCTCTGAACTGAAGGGGCCACGGTTATTATATAAAGGGTGAATGCAAAGAGAACAGTAATCACTATTAGGAGAAAATTGATGTTATCTTTTTAAAATAACCCATTCATTTTCTCATTTATTCATTTCACAGAATTATCTTGAGTGTCTACTATGTTCTCAGGGACTGTATCAGGTACTAAGTATACTGGAAGATTATAATAAGAACTTGATACTTGAGGAGTTTTTATTTAAAAAAAAGACTATATTGAAAAGTAAGGTGTAATTATAATAAATGTTATCAAAAAAAGAAAAACAAGAAAAAAAGAACAGCAGAGGAAACTGGGGATATATTTGTTCATTGTGGTAAAATCAACCTGGAATTTCTAACCGATAGACTTAGGAAATAAATTTCCAAAGGCAGACATTTAGAAGGAAGTGGTCCTAGGGTGATTTGTTTACCCTCTGATTTGTTCAGTTAATTTAGCAGCTGTCCCAGCAGTATTTCTGGCTCGAATCCAATTATTCTGAGAATGTCACCGTTTTCAGCAAAATAATTTCAACTCCTTATTCACTGAGCAACTAATGAAGCTTTGTTTTCCCATATTATAAGAGGGTTACAAATTGATTTCCATAGTAGTTAAGGTTCTTTCCTTGTAAGTGACATAAATTGTCTTCGCCTAACTTAAGCAAAAACAAAGCCAACCAATTAAATAAAACATAGGATATATTTACTGAATATTTCAGTAAATATTTACCTCAAGGAAATCAAAGAGGAACTTCAAGCATAGCTCCCAAACTATTAAAGGTAACACAGGAGGAGCTTGCAGACATAAGATTCAGACAGGAGATGGTAGGCGGAGGAGGTAAAAGCAGGGAGGTGAGTGGGGATAAAGAAAGTCAAGAGTTGGAAGAAAGGACAGCTCTATGTATTCTGTTGCCAGGATGGGTGAATCTAGCCAATGAATGAAACTTGGCTAGAAAAAAACAGTGCTGTGAACTGCTTCAAGCCAGTGATGCATGGGAATAATAGAAACTATATTTAAGAATGTATCACTGAAGGGAAAATTTAGTCTTACTATGAATTTATTCACCATTGGTTAACCTTCAAAATTGATGGTACGTATAGTGGTAAGTGTATTTCTACAGAATGAGGCATAATTATAAAAACAACAAAAAGTCCTACATTGAGCTATAGTTTTATAATGCCATTTGTAGCTAAAGAAAACAAAGAATCGTTGTCTCACATACACACACACATATACACACACGCACATATACACACACACAATCACTGGAATCTCTGAAGTCCCCTGAATAGCTGAATGCAGATTTCTTCTGAATATATACTCTAGCCTCATTCATGCTGTATAGTGAAGCAGAAAATAGTCCTTTCATTTGATTTCTCTCTAAGCATTTTCCCTTAGAGCAGAACAATATAAAATTATATTTAAGCAAAGTGAGAAAAATTCTAGTCCTATAATATTTTCTAATATACCATTTCAATAGACGATACATATCTTAACTACAAGGGACTATTTCATCTTATTTTTTTAATTTTTAATTTTTCTTTCTTCTAAAATAAAAAATGGAATTCACGTGCAGAACGTGCAGGTTTTTTACACAGGTATATGTGTGCTGTGGTGGTTCACAGCACCTATTGACCGGTCCTCTAAGTTCCCTCCCCTCACCCCCACCCCCCATCAGGCCCTGGTGTGTGTTGTTCCCCTCTCTGTGTCCATGTGTTCTCAAAGTTCAACTCCCACTTATGAGTGAGAACATACAGTGTTTGGTTTTCTGTTCCTGTGTTAGCTTGCTGAAGATGATGGCTTCCAGCTTCATCCATGCCCTGCAAAGGACATGATCTTATTTCTTTTTATGGCTGCATAGTATTCCATAGTGTATATGTATCTCATTTTATTTATCCAGTCTATCACTGATGGGTATATGGGTTGGTTTCATGTCTTTGACATTGTAAATAGTGCTGCAATAAATATATGTGTACATGTGTCTTTATAGTAGAATGATTTATATTCCTTTGGGTATATACTCTCAGTGATAGGATTGCTGGGTCAGGTGGTATTTCTGGTTCTAGATCCTTGAGGAATCTCCATACTATCTTCCAGAATGGTTGAACTAATTTACAGTCCCTTCAACAGTGTAAAAGTGTTACTATTTCTCCACATAATCGCCAGCATCTATTGTTTCCTGATTTTCAATAATCAGCATTCTGACTGGCGTGAGACGGTATCTCATTGTGGTTTTGTTTTGCATTTCTCTGATGCTCAGTGATGATGAGCTTTTTTTCATGTGTTTGTTGGCTGTGTAAATGTCTTCCTTTGAGAAGTGTCTGTTCACATCCTTTGCCAACTTTTTGATGGGGTTGTTTTTTTTTTCTTGTAAATATGTTTAAGTTCCTTGTAAATTCTGGATATTAGACCTTTGTCAGAGGGGTAGATTGCAAAAATTTTCTCCCATTCTATACGTTGCCTGTTCTTTCTGATGATAGTTTCTTTTGCTGTGCAGAATCTCTTTAGTTTAATTAGATTCCATTTGTCAATTTTGGCTTTTGTTGCAACTGCTTTTGGCATTTTTGTCATGAACTCTTTGCCTGTGCCTATACCCTGAATGGTATTGCCTAGGTTTTCTTCTAGGGTTTTCATTGTTTTGGGTTTTACATTTAAGTCTTTAATCCATTTTGAGTTAATTTTTGTATAAGGTGTAAGGAAGGGGTCCAGTTTCAGTTTTCTGCATATTGCTAGCCAGTTTTCCCAGCACCATTTGCTGAACAGGAAATCCATTCCCCATTGCTTGTTTTTGTCAGCTTTGTCAAAGATCAGATGGTTGTAGATGTGTGGTGTTATTTCTGAGGTCTCTGTTCTGTTCCATTGTTCTATGTCTGTTTAGGTACCAGTACCAGGCTGTTTTGGTTACTGCAGTCTTGTAATATAGTTTGAAGTCAGGTAGCATGATGCCTTCAGCTTTGTTCCATTTGCTTAGGATTTTCTTGGGTACATGGGGTATTCTTTGATTCCATATGTAATTTAAAATACTTTTTTCTAATTCTGTGAAGAATGTCAATGGTAGTTTGATGTGAATAGCATTGAATCTATAAATTACGTTAGGCAGTATGGCCATTTTCATGATATTGATTCTTCCTATTCATGAGGATGGAGTCTTTTTCCATTTGCTTATGTCTTCTCTTATCTCCTTGAGCAGTGGTTTGTAGTTCTCTTTGAATAGGTCCTTCACATCCCTTGTTAGCTGTATTCCTAGGTATTTTATTCTCTTTGTAGTGATTGTGAATGGGAATTCATTCTAGATTTGGCTCTCTGCTTGCCTATTGTTAGTATAAAGGAATGTTTGTGATTTATGCACATTGATTTTGTATCCTGAGATTTTGTTGAAGTTGCTTATCAGTTCAAGAAGCTTTTGGGCTGAGATAATGGGGTTTTCCAAATATAAAATCCTGTTGTCTGCAAACAGAGACAACTTGACTTCCTGTCTTCCTATTTGAATACACTTTATTTCTGTCTCTTGCCTGATTGCCCTGGCCAGAACTTCCAATAGTATGCTGAATAGGAGTGGTGAGAGAGGGCATCTATGTCTTGTACCAGTTTTCAAAGGGCGTGATTCCAGCTTTTGCCCATTCAACATGATATTGACTGTGGGTCTGCCATAAATAGCTCTTATTATTTTGAGATCTATTCCCTCAATATCTATTTTATTGAGAGTTTTTAGCATGAAAGCATGTTGAATTTTATCAAAGGCCTTTTCTGCATCAATTGAGATAATCATGTGGTTTTTGTCTTTGGTCCTGTTTATGTGATGGATTACATTTATTGATTTGCATATTTTGAACCAGACTTGCTTCCCCGGGATGAAACCGACTTGATTGTGGTGGATAAGTTTTTTGATGTGCTGCTGGATTCAGTTTGTCTTTATTTTATTGAGGATTTTTGCATCAGTGTTCATCAGTGATATTGGCCTGAAGTTTTCTTTTTTTGCTGTGTCTGTTCCCAGTTTTGGTATCAAGATGATGCTGGCTTTATAAAATGAGTTAGGGAGGAGTCCCTCCTTTTCAATTATTTGGAATAGTTTTAGAAGGAATGGTACCAGCTCCTCTTTGTATTTCTGGTAGAATTCAGCTATGAATCCATCTGGTCCTGGGAGTTTTTTTTTTGGTTTGGTATGCTATTAATTACCATCTCAATTTCAGAGTTTGTTATTGGTCTACTCAAGGATGAACCTTCTTCCTGGTTTAGTCTTGGTAGGGAGTATGCATCCAGGAATTTATCCATTTCTTCTAGATTTTCTAGTTTATTTGCATAGAGGTGTTTCAAGTATTCTCTGAGGGTAGTTTGTATTTCTGTGAGATCAGTGGTGATATCTCCTTTATCATTTTTTATTGTGTCTATTTGATTCTTCTCTCTCTTCTTCTTTATTAATCTAGCTAGCAGTGTATCTATTTTGTTGATTTTTTCAAAAAGCCAGCTCCTGGATTCTTCATTTTTTGGAGGATTTTTCATGTCTCTATCTCCTTCAGTTCTTCTCTGATCTTAGTTATTTCTTATCTTCTGCTAGCTTTTGGATTAGTTTGCTCTTGCCTCCCTAGTTCTTTTAATTGTTATGTTAGGGTGTCAATTTGAGACATTCCTAGCTTTTAGATGTGAGCATTTAGTGCTATAGCTGCTTAACACTGCTTTAGCTGTGTCCCAGAGATTCTGATATGTGGTCTCTTTGTTCTCATTGGTTTCAAAGAACTTCTTGATTTTTGCCTTAATTTCATTATTTACTCAGGAGTCATTCAGGAGCAGATTGTTCAGTTTCCATGAAATTTTGTGGTTTTGAGTGAGTTTCCTAATCCTGAGTTCTAATTTGACTGCAGTGTGGTCTGCAAGACTGTTTGTTATGATTTCAGTTCTTTTGCATTTGCTGAGGAGTGTTTTACTTTCAATTACATGGTCAATTTTAGAATAAGTGCCATGTGGCAATGAGAAGAATGTATATTCTGTTGATTTGGGGTAGAGAGTTCTTTAGATGTCTAGTAGTGTGTCCAGAGTTGGTTCCTTCTGGTGGGTTTATGGTCTCGTTGACTTCAAGAATGGAGCCACGGACCTTCGTGGTGAGTGTTACAGCTCTTAAAGATGGAATGGACCCAAAATGTGAGCAGCAGCGAGATTTATTGTGAAGAGCAAAAGAACAAAGCTTCCACAGTGTGGAAGTGAGCAGGTTGCCACTGCTGGCTGGGGTGGCCAGCTTTTATTACCCTATTTGTCCCCTCCCATGTTCCATTTGAGTCCTATCAGAGTGACCTTTTTTCAATCCTCCTGTGATTGGCTACTTTTAGACCCCTGCTGATTGGTGCATTTTACAGAGCACTGATTGGTGCATTTTTACAGAGTGCTGATTGGTGCATTTTACAATCCTCTTCATAGCTACAGAGTGCTGATTGGTGCATTTTGCGATTCTCTTGTAAAACAGAAAAGTTCTCCAAATCCCCACTCGACCCAGGAAGTCCAGATGGCTTCACTTCTCACTAGGTCTGCTTGGTCCACAGCTGAGTTCAAGTCTTGAATATCCTTGTTAATTTTCTCTCTTGTTGATCTGTCTAATACTGACAGTGGGGTGTTAACGTCTCCCACTATTATTGTGTAGGAGTTTTGGTTTCTTTGTAGGTATCTTAAGAACTTGTTTTATGAATCTGGGTGCTCCTGTATTGGGTGTACATATATTTAGAATAGTTAGCTCTTCTTGTTGAATTCTTCTCTTTACCATTATGTAATGCCCCTCTTTGTCTTTTTGATCTTTGTTAGTTTAATATCTGTTTTGTCAGAGACTACGATTGCATGCCCTGGTTTTTTTTTTTTTTTTGCTTTCCATTTGCTTGGCAAATTTTCCTCCATCCCTTTATTTTGAGCCCATGTGTGTCTTTGCACATAAGATAGGTCTCCTGAATATAACACACACATGGGTCTTGACTCCTTATCCAATTTCCCAGTATGTGTCTTTCAATTGGGACATTTAGCCCATTTACATTTAAGGTTAGCATTATTATGTGTAAATTTGATCCCGTCACTATGCTGCTGTTTGGTTATTTTGCACACTAATTGATGCGGTTTCTTTGTAGTGTCATTGGTTTTATATTTTGCTGTGTTTTTGCAGTGGCTGGTACTGGTTTTTCCTTTCCATATTTAGCATTTCTTTCAGGAGCTCTTGCAGAGCAGGCCTGGCGGTAACAAAATCCCTCAGCGTTTGCTTGTTGGAAAGGATTTTATTTCTCCTTCACCTATGAAGCTTAGTTTGGCTAGATATAAAATTCTGGGTTGGAAACTCTTTTCTTTAAGAATGTTGAACATTGGCCCCCAATCTCTTCTGGCTTGTAGAATTTCAGCTGAGAGGTCTGCTGGTTGTCTGATTGGCTTCTCTTTGGTGACCTGACCTTTCCCTCTGGCTGCCCTTAACAGTTTTTCCTTCATTTTGACCTTGGAGACTCTGATGATTATGTGTCTTGGAGTTGATCTTCTCATGGAGTATCTTAATGGTATTCTCTGTATTTCCTGAATTTGCATATTGGTGTGTCTTGCCAAGTTGGGGAAGTTCTCCTGGGTAATATCCTGAAGTGTGTTTTCCACCTTGTTTCCATTCACCCTGTCTCTTTCTGGTACTCCAATCAATCGTAGGTTTGGTCTTTTTATGAAGTCCCCTATTTCTTGGAGGCTTTGTTTATTCTTTTTCATTCTTTTTTCTCTATTCTTGTCTGCATGTCTTATTTCAGTAAGGCGGTCTTCAAACTCTGACATCCTCTCTTCTGCTTGGTTGATTTGGCTGTTGATACTTGTGTATGCTTCACAAAGTTCCTGTGCAGTGTTTTTAAGCTCCATCAGGTCATTCATGTTGTTGTCTAAACTGCTTATTCTAGTTAGCAATTCTAACCTTTTATCAAGGTTCTTAGCTTCTTTGCATTGGGTTAGAACATGCTCCTTTAGCTTATCGTAGTTTTTTATTACCCGTCTTCCAAAGCCTACTTCTGTCAACTTGTTCACCTGATCATCTGCCCAGTTCTGAGCCCTGATGGAGAGATGTTGCAATCATTTGGAGGAGAAGAGGCACTCTGGCCTTTTGGGTTTTCAGCATTTTTTCACTGATTCTTTCTCATC
Source organism: Homo sapiens (assembly GCF_000001405.40). Taxonomy (NCBI): domain Eukaryota; kingdom Metazoa; phylum Chordata; class Mammalia; order Primates; family Hominidae; genus Homo; species Homo sapiens. The sequence goes on from NC_000012.12 coordinate 33,731,723, forward strand.
TTCGTGACTTTGTCTAGTTTCAGTCTTTGAGGTTGCTAACCCTTGGATGGGGTTTTTGCAGGGGCCTTTTGTTGTTGTTGTTGATGCTGTTGTTGTTGCTTTCTGCTTGTTTGTTTTTCTTTCAAGAGTCAGGTCCTTCTTCTGTATGGCTGCTGTAGTTTGCTGGGTGTTCACTTCACGGTGAACTTATTAGGCTCCAGTAATCAGATTCGCTCCTGGCCTGAAGATGTCACTCAAGGAGGCTGGACAGCAGCAAAGATGGGTGCCTGCTCCTTCTTCTGGGACCTCAGACCTCGAGGAGTACCAGCCTGATGCCAGTAGGATCTCTCCTGTATAAGGTGTCTGACAACCCCTGTTGGAGGCTCTCACCCAGTTGGGCACTTTAGGGGTACAAAGACAAAATGTAAATTCATTTGTGTGTTGATTTACATTAGTAAAACTGTATCTGAAGGGTATTTAAAATTTATTTTTACAAAGTTTTTAAATGGAATTTAGAAACAGCTAAATGTAAAAGATGCTAACAAGCATTGGTGTTTATACCTTTAAAAACCTGTTAATGAAGTGTTTAGTTTATTTACACTGATATTTTTATGCAATCTAAGTCTAACAAACACTATAATTGTTTACAATGTGCTAGTGCAAGAATAGGCACGAAGTTAAATAACAGAATAGCATTAAGAAATAGAGCTATGCTTATAATGGCATATAAAATAAGATAAATGTGTTATTTAATTGAATAGAGAGAAACATGGACTATGAAATATCAAAGTATGGGAATATTGATTAGCTATTTAAAAAGAAAAAAAGAATCAGCTCTAGTCTTTACTGTATTTTTTATACCAAAATAAGTTTAGATGAATACAAATTGATTTTTTTAAAGAATGAGTATCACTTTTATTAAGCATTTTTTCCTCTCCTTACTGATTTGGAAGAGAAATTATGCCAAATAAGAACAAAGTTACCTTTGATTCAGGATTTCCTTTGGATACATTAAAAGCTGTCTATAAACCTAATATTGTAAATGGATCACTTTTTGTTATATTTATCAAAGGGCAGAGAACTTTTCTTAGCCTAAATTTTAATAATTTGCTGATTAAGAAAATGTAACAAAAGAGGTGGAAAATAATCCTCAGATAGAACTTTCCCCTGTTTGAAATTACAACATAAAACAAGTAAAATGATTCCTTTTTTAATCTTCCTAATTTCTGAGGGCTCTCTACCTTTTTCTTTTCTTATTATTTCACAAAGAAACTAGCAGTGTCAAAATGGAACTCCTTCAATATCCCGAGCCAACCTACACCACCAGTGTCAACATGACCCTCTCTTCCCTCTATCCCCTTACAATAAAGCAAGTATTGACTCAGAATTCCTTTCTACACCAGGCTCTGGCAAATGCCTTTACCCGCCAATGTTATACATTCTTACTTACTATTACTTTCTTAATTATTGGGTCAGAGCATCAGCCTTCTATATCCTATTAAGTGTCAGATTTACAAGAGTAGAAACTGTCTTAGGCTTCTTGGTGTAAGGTACTTACCAGTACCAGATTCAAAACATAAACATGATTGGTGTCAATTGGTTAGATGTTCCTTGGAGCCTAAGTAACTATTTAAAAATAATTGTGCATCAATGACTTAATCAGTGTGCAGTTATTTAATTTGCCTTGTATATAACCCAGCAACTATGGAACACAGGTTTATTTTTGGTATCTGTCGTTTATGCCAAGTGACATTTTGACAGGAAGCTATTCCTAATGTAAGGTAGCAGACACCTCTTGCTAAGAAACTTATTCTTGTTACCAGGAAATTATTGCTTGTACTCTTTCGGTTAAATGTGAGCCTTCAACCTAGCTTCATGTGGTTTGAAAATAAAATAAATACAGTTTAAAACCGATATGCCTTAAACTTTTCATTACATAATTCATATTTCCTCTATTTAAAAACTTTGTTACAATCTTGCCACAAATGCAGGATATTTATTTTCAGTTACCCCCACAAAAGTCAAAGAAAAGATAAAGAAACCTTATATATTTCTCTAGGAAGCTATCCTTGCACAAAATCATGTCCTATTTATATATCTTCTTGACCTTCAGAGATTTATATCTAACAGACAATGAATATCCTCTTGAATGACATACATAGAGACACTTCACAAAGAGCAAGTAGAACATACGAATCACTGTTTTTCCTATGTATTCTTTCTCTTTTCTTTATCATTTAAATATACTAGTTATTTTCAGCTATACTGTTAGGGATATTTCTGCAATTCCTCCCAATTAATGCAAATAAGTTCCTGACTATTCTTCCTTTTAAATGTCTCTAAAATCAACCCTCTCCTCCCCAACCTTCTTTTCATTGTCCACCATTTCCTGCTTGGACCACTGGCATAGTCTCTTACTATGTCCCTGCCTGCAATCTCATACTAACTCTAGAAGGATTTTTCCATCGATAGATTATTCTTCTGCTACATTAGACTAATTTCAGCTCCCTCAATGGGTCTTGCTATGTCACACATTTAAGCCTTCATGCATTTGAATCCTTCTGCCTGGCATGCTATTTTTTTCTTTTCTTTTCTTTTTTAACCAGAAAATTATTATCCACTTTTTAGCCCTCTTTAAATTAATGACCTGAGGTAATTACATCTCACTTTGTATATTACCAGGAACTTGTTCCTTCACTGTATTGCAATGATTTATTCATATCTGACTTTCTTATAAAAATACAAGCTACTTGGAGCAGAAATACATCACATCTTTACATCCCAGCACCAAGCACAGGGCCTAACACAAAGTAGGCAGACAAATAATGTTTTAAATAAATAAATAAATAAATAAATTCTAACTTCTAAATTTGCAAGAGAACCTCAGATTATTCAATTTTAATTTGGACATATGGTACGTTAACTCTCTAAAATACTGGATCACACAGGTTAAGCAATAAAGTTAATGAAAGCAAATCGATTCCTCCCCTTGTTTCTCCCTCTCTCACTACCCTCTCCCCTCTTCTTCACCTTCTTTTTTTTTTTTTTTGGTTCCTTCCCGCTGCATGTTTTATTAAGCACCTACTATGTACTAGGACCTAGAGATACTGCTGAATATTATTTTAGAACACCATTTATTATTTTAATAATAAAACTACAGATCTGCCATAACCAGAGAAATTAGGTGGACTTTATAAATACTCATACCACCACGGCATACATTTTAGTTATTATTCACTTAAGAGACAAGGAATGTTTTTATATCTCTGAAGAATTTCTTGGAAAATTTGGAGTGCATCACTTGTAAAATGTTCACATAAAGTAAATGCTAAGGTATTTTGGAATCACAAGACTTGTAAAACCTTGAAAAGTCATTAAGTAAATGTTTATTGGATGAATCTAACATATTCCCCTGGCTGCAATGAGCAATATATTTACAAAGGTTAGGCAATCCGCCTTATAAAAAAATCTACAGATGAAGACTCAAAATTTTAATAACAGTTGGAAATATTTACAACTTTTTAGTCAGTTTTAATTTTTTCAAAATAAGCATATTCAGCTGAAATAAACTTTCTAATTTTTACTGCAAAGATTTATTTTTATTAGAATATCAACACTTTACATATATTTTAGAAGGTGTTAAGTATTTTTCCCTTTATTCTTTGTCTTTTCTTGAGCATCTAGCCTTCCCTAACTATATATAAATCACTTTAGCATAAATTTTTATTATTGATCTAACTTTATTCTATAATATATTTCTGTCTCTTTTAAATGTCTTCATTTATCAGTAGACTGATTAACAAATGGAATTTAAGATTTTAATAAATGTTTAAAGCAATTTGTATTTTGGTATCATTACATATAGTGCCACTGTGATATATGGTTGTTAATATGATAATACAACATTAAACTGAAGGCATAGAAGCATAGAAGGGAACAGACACATAGGTACACATTACTAGAAAGATTTAGAGTTAATGGTCTTACAAGTTCTTGCTACATAAGGGCTTTGAGAAGCAACTATCTTTAACATGTTTGGTAGGATTGCAGCAAAGCTGAATCTCACAGAGGACAGAATAGACGAGAGAAAATGGTAGGTTTACAGAAAATATTATGTTACCTTCTTGGATCTGAGAATTTCTCTATTGGGAATTTCTCTGTTATTGCTTACTTAAGTATTTCTTCTGTCCCATTCTCATTTAGGGGATTCCAATTATATATATATTAGATGATTAATATTGTACCATACCTTTTGCATATTCTGTTCTTAACAGTTTTCTCTTTTCTGTGTGTGTGCTTCAGTTTGTAGTTGCTCTTGTCTTATCTTCAAGATCACTGAATCTCTCTGAATCTACTGATGTGCCTATCAGCCTATCAAAGGTACTATTTATCTTCATGCTATATATTTTTCTATTTTTAGCATTTCTAGATTCTTTCTTATAGCTTTCTGCTGAAATTACCCATCTGATCATGCATATTTTCTGACTTACCTACTAGAACCTTTAGCAGATTAATTATAGTTATGTCAAATTCCTAGTCTGATATACCAAAAGCTGTTTTGTATCTGAGCCTGGTGGTGATCTTTTGTCATTTTTTGTATGCCTTAATTTTTTCCTTCTGGAAATCAAACTTCTTGGGCAGAACAGTATATTCCAAGGCAAATATATTTTTTATTGTGATAAAATATACACAAAATTAACTTTTCCATTTAAGCCATTTTAAGTGTACAATTCAGAGACATTAAGCATATTCAAATTTTTGTGCAACCAATGCCAACATCCATCTCTAGAAACTTTTAATCATCCCAAACTGAAACTCTATACTCATTAAACAATAACTCCCCATTCCCCCCTTCCCCAATGCCTGATGCCCTCTCCTCTACTTTCTGACTCTATGAATTTGCTGATTTTAGGTAGGTCCTGTCAGTTGGATTACATAATGTTTGTTTTTTTATATCTGGCTTATTTCACTTAGTATAATGCTTTTATCCATGTTATAGCATGCAGCAGAATTTCCTTCATTTTTAAGGCAGAATTTTATATATATATATATATATATATATATATAACAATATATAACAAATATATATACAACAAATATATAACAAATATATGTACAATACATAACAAATATATATACTATATATAAACATATATATGTATATATATATATATATATATATATATATATACACATATATATAACATTTTGTTTATCCATTCATCTGTCAATGGGAATTTGGATTATTTTCGCAAAGCATTATATTTTAATGCTGGGTGATGTGCCCTTTTCTTCTCCTAGAGCTTTAATATGGGGTTTGTTTTAATCAAGTCAGAAGTAGTACTGGTTTGGGGTTTGTTGTTGCTGTTCCCCAGTTGACTGTAGGTTTTAAACTTCTCTAGTGGTATTTTGTTTTTATTGTGGGTAGTAGCTTGCCAGAGAGCATTTTCTCAATTTCTACTCTCCACTTATTTGATTCTGCCCTTTATACAAGGCCCCAGAAAGAATCTCTCTCTTGTTACCGTCCCAGGTATATTGTGCTGTTATTTTCACTCTAAAGATATTAGCTTGGTCACAGAAAGGAACGAGGGGAATGGAATTATCTGATGTTCTGACGAACCCTATCCTCAGACAGACTTTCCATTGGCTCTGGGTTCTTGGAAGCGCAGCCTTCACAAGTGCTCCTCTCCAGCTGCTGGGCCCAAAACACGACCCTGCACTTCCATGAGGGGTAGTGATGGTTTTTGTGCGTTTCTTTTCCCTTCCCCCAGCTGTGATGTGCTAAAGGGAGTTATTCAAGTTGAAATGAAAAGATGCTAAACAACATGAAACCATGTGAAAATACAAATCTCATTTTTAAAGAGTAACTATAAACACAAACCACAAAATATTGTTATGCTGTAAAGGTGACATGTAAGTCACATTTAATACTAGTGTACAAATTAAAAGACAAAAGTAGTAACAACAACTATAACTATAAAAATATTTTAATGGAAACAACATAGAAACAAGTTAAATATGACATAAATTACACTAAGTATGTTGGGGAGTAAGTATAGAATTTTGGTATGCAATTGAAATTAATTCACTACAATATTATAATAGACTGATATAACATGTTTGATCTGAGCCCCCATGGTAACCACACACCAACACAAACATACAAATGTACAATGGATACACAAAAGATGAAGAAAAGGGTAAAGAATGCCATTAAAAAACTGAAATTGTGGCAATAATCAATAATTTACCAACCAAAAAGAGTCCAGGACCAGATGGATTCACAGCCGAATTCTACCAGAGGTACAAGGAGGAACTGGTACCATTCCTTCTGAAACTATTCCAATCAATAGAAAAAGAGGGAATCCTCCCTAACTCATTTTATGAGGCCAGCATCATTCTGATACCAAAGCCGGGCAGAGACACAACCAAAAAAGAGAATTTTAGACCAATATCCTTGATGAACATTGATGCAAAAATCCTCAATAAAATACTGGCAAACCAAATCCAGCAGCACATCAAAAAGCTTATCCACCATGATCAAGTGGGCTTCATCCCTGGGATGCAAGGCTGGTTCAATATACGCAAATCAATAAATGTAATCCAGCATATAAACAGAGCCAAAGACAAAAACCACATGATTATCTCAATAGATGCAGAAAAAGCCTTTGACAAAATTCAACAACCCTTCATGCTAAAAACTCTCAATAAATTAGGTATTGATGGGATGTATTTCAAAATAATAAGAGCTATCTATGACAAACCCACAGCCAATATCATACTGAATGGGCAAAAACTGGAAGCATTCCCTTTGAAAACTGGCACAAGACAGGGATGCCCTCTCTCACCACTCCTATTCAACATAGTGTTGGAAGTTCTGGCCAGGGCAATTAGGCAGGAAAAGGAAATAAAGGGTATTCAATTAGGAAAAGAGGAAGTCAAATTGTCCCTGTTTGCAGACGACATGATTGTATATCTAGAAAACCCCGTTGTCTCAGCCCAAAATCTCCTTAAGCTGATAAGCAACTTCAGCAAAGTCTCAGGATACAAAATCAATGTACAAAAATCACAAGCATTCTTATACACCAACAACAGACAAACAGAGAGCCAAATCATGAGTGAACTCCCATTCACAATTGCTTCAAAGAGAATAAAATACCTAGGAATCCAACTTACAAGGGATGTGAAGGACCTCTTCACGGAGAACTACAAACCACTGCTCAACGAAATAAAAGAGGACACAAACAAATGGAAGAACATTCCATGCTCATGGGTAGGAAGAATCAATATCGTGAAAATGGCCATACTGCCCAAGGTAATTTACAGATTCAATGCCATCCCCATCAAGCTACTAATGACTTTCTTCACAGAATTGGAAAAAACTACTTTAAAGTTCATATGGAACCAAAAAAGAGCCCGCATCGCCAAGTCAATCCTAAGCCAAAAGAACAAAGCTGGAGGCATCACACTACCTGACTTCAAACTATACTACAAGGCTACAGTAACCAAAACAGCATGGTACTGGTACCTAAACAGAGATATAGATCAATGGAACAGAACAGAGCCCTCAGAAATAACGCCACATACCTACAACTATCTGATCTTTGACAAACCTGAGAAAAACAAGCAATGGGGAAAGGATTCCCTATTTAATAAATGGTGCTGGGAAAACTGGCTAGCCATATGTAGAAAGCTGAAACTGGATCCCTTCCTTATACCTTATACAAAAATCAATTCAAGATGGATTAAAGATTTAAACGTTAGACCTAAAACCATAAAAACCCTAGAAGAAAACCTAGGCATTACCATTCAGGACATAGGCATGGGCAAGGACTTCATGTCCAAAACACCAAAAGCAATGGCAACAAAAGCCAAAATTGACAAATGGGATCTAATTAAACTAAAGAGATTCTGCACAGCAAAAGAAACTACCATCAGAGTGAACAGGCAACCTACAAAATGGGAGAAAATTTTTGCAACCTACTCATCTGACAAAGGGCTAATATCCAGAATCTACAATGAACTCAAACAAATTGACAAGAAAAAACAAACAACCCCATCAAAAAGTGGGCGAAGGACATGAACAGACACTTCTCAAAAGAAGACATTTATGCAGCCAAAAAACACATGAAAAAATGCTCATCATCACTAGCCATCAGAGAAATGCATATCAAAACCACTATGAGATACCATCTCACACCAGTTAGAATGGCAATCATTAAAAAGTCAGGAAACAACAGGTGCTGGAGAGGATGTGGAGAAATAGGAACACTTTTACACTGTTGGTGGGACTGTAAACTAGTTCAACCATTGTGGAAGTCAGTGTGGCGATTCCTCATGGATCTAGAACTAGAAATACCATTTGACCCAGCCATCCCATTACTGGGTATATACCCAAAGGACTATAAATCATGTTGCTATAAAGACACATGCACACGTATGTTTATTGTGGCATTATTCACAATAGCAAAGACTTGGAACCAACCCAAATGTCCAACAATGATAGACTGGATTAAGAAAATGTGGCACATATACACCATGGAATACTATGCAGCCATAAAAAATGATGAGTTCATGTCCTTTGTAGGGACATGGATGAAATTGGAAATCATCATTCTCAGTAAACTATCGCAAGAACAAAAAACCAAACACCGCATATTCTCACTCATAGGTGGGAATTGAACAATGAGATCACATGCACACAGGAAGGGGAATATCACACTCTGGGGACTGTTGTGGGGTGGGGGGAGGGGGGAGGGATAGCACTGGGAGATATACCTAATGCTAGATGACGAGTTAGTGGGTGCAGCACACCAGCATGGCACATGTATACATATGTAACTAACCTGCACAATGTGCACATGTACCCTAAAACTTAAAGTATAATAAAAAAAGGAAAAAAAAGAAGCAAACAAACAAACAAAACAACAAAAAATCAAACCACAAAGAAAGATAACAAGAGAAAAGAGGAAAAAAATCCTACAAAACAGACAGAAAACAAAATGTCAATAGTAAGTTCTTACCTATCAATAATTACTTTAAATGTAAATGGACTAAATCAATCAATCAATCAATCAAAAGACCTGGAGTGGATGAATAGATTAAAAAGCATGACCCAACTATATGCTGTCTAGAAGTGTCACCTTACATTTAAGGACACACTTAGGCTAATGGTGAGGAGGTAAAGAAAGATATTCCATGCAAATGGCCATCAAAAGAGAACAGGGATGGCTATACTTATATTAGATAAAATAGAAATTAAGTCAAAAACTGTTAGGAGAGATTAAGAAGGACATTACATAATAAAAGGATAAATTCAACAAAAACATGTTACAATTTTAAATATATATGTACCCAACATCAAAGCACCTAAATATATAAAGCAAACATTGACAAACTGAAGGTAGAAACAGACAAAAATACAATAATAGTAGGATACTTCAATATTCACTCTCTATAACAGATAGATCATCTAAACAATTCCACTGCTGACTTGAATATCACTCTAGACCAAATGGATCTAACAGCCAAATGCAGAACATTCCAATCAACAGCAACAGATTACTCATTCTACTCAAGTGTATTCAGAACATCATCCAGGATAGATCACATGCTACATCACAAAACAAGCCTTTATAATTTAGAAGACTGAAATTATTACCAGTATCTTTTCTGATCATAATGGAATTAAACAGAAAGTTAACAATAGAAAGAAAATGGGAAAATTAACAAATTCAAAGAAATTAAACAAAAAACTTTTAAACAACTATTGGGTCAAAGAAGAAATAAAAAAGGAAGTTAGAAAATATGTTGAAACAAACAAAATGAATACACAATGCACCAAAACATACTGAATGCAGCAAAAGCAGTACTAAGAGTAAAGTTTAGTTTATAGTAATGAATGCCTATGTTAAAAGTAAGAGAGCGTTCAAATAAATAACTACATTTCAAGGGAATAGAAAAGATGAAGAAACTCAACCCAAAATTATTAGAAAGAATGAAATAATAAATATTAGAAGAAATAAATGAAACAGAGGCTAGAAAAACAAATAAGAAAAACCAACAAACCTGTTTATTTTTCAAAAAGATACACAAAATTGTACTGACAGAATATTAGCTAGACTAAAAAAAAAGGGAAAGAGTCAAATAAAATTAGATATGAAAGAGGGGACTTAACAACAGAAATACAAAGGATCATAAGGGACTACATGAGTGAATTGGACAACCTAGAAAAAACAAATTTCTAGAAACTTACAACCTACCAAGACTGAATCAAAAAGAAAGAAAAGCAATAATGAACAATAATCAGTAAGGTGATTGAAGAAGTAATAATTATAATAAAGAAAAGCTAAGAACTAAATGGCTTCACTGCTGAATTCATCAAACATTTAAATAATAATTAATACCAAAATTTGAAAACTTTTTCAAAAACACATAAAAAGAGGGAACACATCCAAACTCCTTTTATGAGGTCAGTATCAGCCTGCTCCCAAACCTAGACAAAGGCACTGCCAGAAAAGAAAATGACAGGCCAACAGCTCTGATCAACATAGATGCAAAAATTTTCAGCAAAACACTGGCAAGTCAAATACAACATGAAAATAAAAGAATCATACACCATGACCAAGTAGGTAAGATTTACCCTTCGAATGCAAGCATGGCTCAACATATGAAAATCAATCAATGTGATATACCACATTAATAGAATGAAGGACAAAAAAATCATGTAATCATTTCAATAGATACAGAAAACGCATTTGACAAATTGTGACCACCCTTAATAGTAACAAACTCTCAACAATTTAGGCATAGAAGGAACTTATCTCAACAAAATAAAGGCCATATATGATAAGCTCACAACTTAGATTATACTCAATGGTGAAAAGCTGAACAGTTTCTATGATCTGAAGCAAGGCAAGAATGCTCACTGTCACCTCTCCTATTAAACATAGTGTTGAAGGTGCTAGCTAGAGCAATTAAAGAAGAAAAATAAATGAAGAGCATATAAATTAGAAAGGAAGAAGTCAAACTATCTCTGTGTGCAGTTGACATGATCTTATATGCTGAAAACCCTAAAGACTCTACCCCGAAAGTAAGAACTAATAAAAAACTTTAATAAAGTTGCAAAATACTAAATCAACATACAAAATCAGTAGCTTTTGTATTCATTAACCATAGCCTAATTGATAAGAATTAGAGAAAGCAATTCGATTTACAAAAGCATCAAACAGAATAAAACACTTAGGAACAAACTTAACCAAGGCGGTAAAAGACATGTACACTGAAAACTACAAAACACTGGTAAAATTTAAAAAGATACAAATAAATGGAAAGACATCTCATGTTAACAGATTGGAAGAATTAATATTGGCAAGATGTCAATACTACTGAAAGCTACTTGTAGATTTATTACAATTCCTATAAAAATACCCATGACATTCTTTAAATAGAAAAAAATCTAAAATTCATAAGGAACTACAAAATACCCTGAATAGACAAAGCAATTTTAAGCAAGAAGAGCAAAGTTTAAAGTATGACACTCTATACTCTATGATTTAAAACATATTACAAAGGTACACTAATCAAAAGACTTGTCCTGGCATAAAAGCAAATATACAGATGAATTGAATCAAATAAAGAGCCCAGGAACAAACTCACACATGTATGGTCAACTGTTCTTTGACAAAGGAGCCACAGATGGGGAAAAGATAGTCTGTTCAGTAAATGGTGTTAAGAAAATTACATGTCTACGAAAATTACATGTCTACGTGATAAAGAATAAAATTGGGCCACATGCGGTGGCTCACACCTGTAAGTCCAGCACTTTGGGAGGCTGAAAGTGGGCTGATCACTTGAGGTCAGGAGTTTGAGACTAGCATGGCTAACACAGTGAAACCTCATCTCTACTAAAAATAGAAGAAATTATCTGGGTGTGGTGGTGCATGCCTGGAATCCTAGCTACTTTGGAGGCTGAGGCATGAGAATTGCTCAAGCCCAGGAGGTGAAGGTGGCAGTGACTCGAGATCGTGCCACTGCACTCCAGCCTGGGCAACAGAGTGAGACTCTGTCTCAAAAATAAATAAATAAATAAATAAATAACATAACATAAAATTGGACTTTCATCTCACACCATATGGAAAAATAGACTCAAAAAGGATTAAAGAATTAAATATAAAACATGAAATAATAAAACTCTTGGAAGAAAACATATAGGAAGACCTCTAGACATAGGACTGGGCAATGATTTCTTGGATATAACACCAAAAGCACAGGCAACAAAATCAAAAATAGACAAGCGGGAACAAATCAAACTGAAATGCTTCTACATAGCAAGGAAACAATTAACTAAATGAAAAGGTAACCTATGAAATGGGAGAGAATATTTACAAATCATACATCTGATAAGGTATTAATATCCAACTATATAAGAAAATCCTAGAACTCAATAGCAAAAAACAAAAACAAAAGTGACAATTCAGTTAAAAAATAGACAGATTCTGAAAATATATTTCTCTTTGTCTTTCTATTTGTCCTTCTGTAAAGATAAATTCCTCATGATTTTACTTATATGTGAGATCTAAAATATGGTATCAAACATATAGAATATATGTTAATATACTATCAAACGTATAGAAGCAGAGAATAGAAAGGTGGTTTCCATCAAACGTATAGAAGCAGAGAATAGAATGGTGGTTTCCAGGAGTTGAGGGAAGTAGAAATGAGGGGATGTTGGTCAAAGGGTAGAACGTTTCAGTTAAATAAGATCTGAAGATTTACTTAAAAAAAAAACCTTGTCATTTATACATGTGTCTCTACAGAGTGAATTAAATGCAGCAATGTTAGGCGAACACATTCATTCATTGAAATAGAACTATACTCATTCACATATTCTTAGAAACATCTTTTACACATGTGCCTTTTTAAAGTTGATATGGTTTTGCTTTGTTTCCCCACTCAAATCTCATGTTGAGTTATAATTCCCAATTTTGGGGAAGTGACCCGGTGGGAGGTGATTGAATCATTAGGGCAGATTTCCCCTTTGCCATTCTTGTGATAGTGAGTGAATTCTCATGAGATGGAGTTGTTTAAAAGTGTATAGCATTTTCCCTTTGCTCTTTCTCCTGTCACCATGTGAAGACATGCTTGCATCCCCTTCACGTTCTGCCATGATTGTAAGTTTCCTGAGGCCTCTCCAGTTATGCCTTCTGTAGAGCCTGCAGAACTGTGAGTCAATTAAACCTCTTTTCCTTATAAACTACCCAGTCTCAGTTAGTTCTTTACAGCAATGTGAGAACAAACTAATACAGAAAAGTGGTACCAGAGAAGTGGAGCATTGCTATAAAAATACCTGAAAATGTAGAAGTGACTTTGAAACTGGATAAAAGGCAGAGGTTGGAACAGTTTGGAGGGCTCAGAAGAAGACAGGAAGATGCGAAAAGTTTGGAAGTCCCTAGAGACTTGTTGAATGGTTGTGACTAAAATGCTGATAGTGATATGGACAGTCCAGGCTGAGGAGGTCTCAGATGGAGATGAGAAATTTATTGGGAACTGGAGTAAAGGTCCCTCTTGATATGCTTTAGCAAAGAGACTGGTGGCTTTGTGCCCCTGCTCTAGAGATCTGTGGAACTTAAACTTGAAATAGATGAATTAGGGTATCTGGCAGAAGAAATGTCTAAGCAGCAAAGTGTTCAAGATGTGGTCTGGCTGCTTCTAAAAAGCCTATGTTCATTTTCCTAAGGAAGGAGAACTTATATATAAGAGGGAAGCAGAGTGTAAATTTGGAAAATTTGCAGCCTGACCATGTGGTAGAAAAGAAAAACTCATTTTCTGGGGAGAAATTCAGGGTGCAGAAATTTGCATAAGTAAAAAGTCACCAAATGTTAATAGCCAAGACAATGGAAAAAATGCCTCCAGGGCATTTCAGAGACCCTCACGGAAGCCCCTGCCATCACAGACCTGGAGGCCTAGGAGGGAAAAATGATTCTGTGGACCAGGCCTAGGGCTCTGCTGCTCTATGAAGCCTCAGGACATGGCACCCTGTGTCCCAGCTGCTCCAGCTCCAGCTGTGGCTAAAAGGGGCCAAGGTACAGCTCCAGCCATTGGTTCAGAGGGTGTAAGCCCTAAGCCTTGGCAGCTTCCACATGGTGTTAGGCCTGCTGGTGTGCAGAAGGCAAGAGTTGAGGCTTGTCAGCCTCCACCTAGATTTCAGAGGATGTATGGAAATGACTGGATGTCGAGGCAGAAGTCTCCTGAAGGTTTGGAACCCTCATGAAGAACCTCTACTAGGGCAGTGTGGAGAGAAATGTGGGGTTGCAACCCTCACACAGAGTCCCCATTGGGGCACTGCCTAGTGGAGCTGTGAGAAGAGGGGCACCATCATACAGACCCCAGAATGGTAGATCCACCTATAGTTTGCATCATGCACCTGGAAAAGCTGTAGACACTTAATGCCAATGAGTGAAAGCAGCCAGGGGGGCTATACCCTGCGGAGCCACAGAGGCAGAGCTGCCCAAGGCATTCAGGGCCCCTTCCTTGCATCAGTGTGCCCTGGATATGAGACATGGAGTCAAAGGAGATTATTTTGGAGCTACAAGATTTAATGACTGCCCTACTGGGTTTTGGACTTGCATGAGGTCTGTATCCCCTTTGTTTTGGCCAATTTCTCCCCTTTGGAATGTATTTACCCTGTACCTCCACTGTATCTTGGAAGTAACTAACTTGTTTTTTATTTTATAGGTGAAAGGCGCTTGCCTTGTCTTAGGTGAGACTTTGGACTTGGATGTTTGAATTAATGTTGTAATGAGTTAAGGCTTTTGGGGACTGTTGCAAATGCATGAATTTGTTTCAGAATTGAAGGATATGAGACCTTGGAAGGGCCAGGGGCAGAATAATATGATTTCACTCTCTGACCCCACCCAAATCTCATGTTCAATTGGAATTCCCAATGTTGGGGAAAGGACCTGGTGGGAGGTGATTGGATCATGAGGGCAGATTTTCCCTTGCTGTTCTCATGATAGTGAGTAAGTTATCACAAGAACTAGTTGTTTAAATGTGTGTAGCACTTCCCCCTTTTCTCTCTCTCCTGTTGCTATGTGAAGATGTGCTTGATTCCCCTTCATCTCCCAGCCATGCCTCCCATAGATCCTGTGAAACTGTGAATCAATTAAACCTCTTTTCTTCATAAACTACTCAGTCTCAGGTAGTTCTTCATAGCAACATGAGAACAGATTAATACAAAACTTTATTAAATGTAACAGGGCAGTGAACACATTCTTTTAGTGAAATAACATTACCTTGATGCAAACAAATACTATGACTTTTAGAAACATTCATATCCATATGACTTTATGTAGTGCAGTCTATGTACCAGAGTGTGGTGAATGTATCCTTTCAATAAAATAACCCTGTACTTATTCACCCATGCAACTAGAATTCCCAGAAACATCATTCATACATGTGCCCTTCTAAAGTGTATTAAATGTAAAAAAAGTGCATATTTTCCCCAACTTTTTTGTTTAAATATAGATATCTATGCACATGTAAACACAAACGTTAAGTATTATCTTTTACCAAAATTGAACCATTAATCTTCAGCTTGCTTGTTCTTATTTAACAGCTTATCGAAAACATGTATCTGAGTCAGTGTGTGTGTGTGTTTATCTCATTCTTCTAAATCACTTCTAAGTATTCCAATATATTTTATATGCCAGTTTAAATTTAAAACTGATCTTCTAGGCATTTTTATTATTTTAATATATTCCTTTTATATTGATAATGTTGCAAATTATCATTTTGTTACTTATTTTAATGTACTCATGCTATAATTTCTCTAGACCACTTCTCTAGAAGTAGAATTCTCTAGATTCTTCTCTAGATGTAGAATAATACTACCAAATTACTCCTTCCATAATCACTATATAAAATGCCAATTTCCTCATATTCTAATCAACACTGTATTTCTTTTATGCTTTGTTTAAATTGGCTCTTCTTTTATGAAAGAAAAGATGGTCAGCTTGATCATCTTTTTGAATTTTATTGGCCATATGAATTGTAATTTTGTTATTTCCATGTTTTTTTCTAACAGGTTGTCTATTTTTTAATTTATAAAAGAATTTTTGATGCATAATGACCAATTACCTATTATTAAACAGGAGAGTTATTTCATATAATGGCTGAAAGCTGTGTCTAGTGGACTGGCAGTTCCCTTCTGTTATTTTCCTTTCACTTTGTAGTGGATAACATTATATAGACTCTCTCTCTCTTGTTCTTACTCTCTTTGCTGTAGTTGTCTCTGGCTTTCTCTCTCTTTGTCTTTGTGTGTGTGCATTGTGTGTGTGCTTGAATAGCCAAATGTCTATCTTTTTTTCTATGATCTCTGAGTTTTGTTTCTTTCTAAAGAAAGACCTGTGATTCTACAAATAATCTAAATTATCTCCTAGTTCAGTCATAATTTGGTTCCACTTATAGATTATTAAAACAACTGGAATTTATTTTAGAAAACATTTTTATTTTCTTCTAAGCCATTGTCTACTGTTATTATGATTTTCCTGAGGTCCAGATATCATAAAGAAAAGAAAGAAAGTTTGCCTGTAATGAGACGACATATATGTACAGGCATATCTGACAAATGGTGGGGAATATGAAGTGACTGTATGAAAGGCAGATTGCCAAAAGGTATGACAAAATACCTTGAGAGACAATCACCAGAATGAGAGTTCACATGTAGTGAGTGCTTGTTTTGTACGAGGCTGTGTCTAATTCACTTTTTATATCCATATTACTTTACATAGTGTAGTCTATGCACCAGAGTGTGGTAAACACATCATTTCAATGAAATAACACTGTACTTATTCGCCTTTGCAACTAGAATTCCCAGAATAAAATTAATCTTGTATGCGTCTTTTAAAACTTCCCCACAACTCTGCAAACAAGGTTTATATATAAACTCTATATATTCTAGAGATTACAATTTATTTTATTTTACCTTATTTGAATTGAAGGAGCATATTCTAGAGACTTCAAAAGAAGAAATTGAAATTGTGAGAGATGAAATATAACATGTAATTTTTACTGACTATAGAGATCATACCTTAACCAATATGATGTTGGATCTCCAGCCATAGAAATTTGTCTAACAGAGTGAGCTACTCTCATTAGGAGGAAAAGGGCCTATAGATGGAGCAGCTGTAGGTACAGAGTAAGAATGTATTTTAGATCATGCTAATTCAGCCCTTGTGGGGATCTATGAGCTCAGAGAATGAGAGAGCCTCTGTTTACAATCAATAAGAAAGAATGAAAAAATGATTTCAACATACCAATATACATAGAAAATACTTTACTTAAACTCTATTCTGTTTTCTGTATTAGCAATTCACTATAACTTGAGCAGTAAAACTAAAATACCTGAGTTAGCAATGAGCATTGATTTCTGCCATCTAGTGAGGAATACCTCTTCCATTATTAAACAAACAAACAACAAACAAAAATCAGGTTGTGGAAGGTGTTCCATTACTGCCTTGAGTGATGAGTGATGGAGGGCCAATACAAATAGAAATAAACCAGTATAATAGCATGGGGAATATCTACACAGATGGATAAGAAAGTAGTGGGCAGATGGAGGAATAAATAGCATGGAGGGTATCTACACAGATAAGTGAGAAATAGTTGACAGATGCAAATAAAAAGTAAAAACAATGTCTAGAATATCTGAATGGCAGAACTGGGAATGCATGTATAATCAGGAGAGAAGCCAAAATTGTCCCACTAGGATAGAGAACAAAATTCTGTATTTTTTTTTCAAATAGTTATCTGGTAAAGTCAGAGTTGAAGAGATTTTTGGTCAGTTTGGCCCATAGACATGAAGAGCAAGTCCTATTTACCAACATTCCTATGAAGCATATAAGTACATAATCTCCAGTCCACACCTACCTGTTACTGCTTATACTATATTTAGATATTCAGCCATTAAGATTTTAGAGTTTTAAAAACTACTTAGACATGGCCAGGTGCAGTGGTTCACACCTGTTATCCCAGCACTTTGAGAGGACAAGGAGGGTGTATCACAAGGTCAGGAGATCAAGACCATTCTGGCCCATGGTGAAACCCCGTCTCTACTAAAAATACAAAAATTACCTTGGTGTGGTGGCACGTGCCCGTAATCCAAGCTACTCGGAAGGCTGAGGCAGGGATTCGGAGGTTGCAGTGAGCGGAGATTGCACCACTACACTCCAGCTTGGCGACAGAGCGGTCTCAAAAAAAAAAGTACTTAGACATTAATTGAGTCATGTTTAAAAAAATTGGGGGAGTTTCGTTTGTTTGCTTTAAGGTAAAAGAGCATGTCAGAAACTAAAAATTTCAAGGAAAACATAAAGCTTTGATATTGAGGTCTTGTCTATGAGATCTCCCTCTTTTAAACAAGGCCACATCTTATTTATCCTACTAAAATACTGGTCTACTTCTAAAAATATATTTCTCACATTACTATAATTACTAAAGTATTCATAATTGTTTACTGCACTAGTAATTTAGCCTATGCTCTAGCTTTTTGAAATTTCTTATTTATACATCTAGACAACAATATTTATGGACTCAGCCACATATCTCATTTTTTAATTTTTCAGATACAGAAACCTAAAAACAGGAGACACATTTATTGCTTCCTGCAATATTTCATAATGAGTATTTGAGCCCAGTTTAGCAAATATTTAATAAAAGTTTTTTAACTGATGCACTCAGGAGTGAAGGAAGGAGGTAAAGATGCATATTTTCTCAGTAACTATTGTTATCAGCCAGATATTTTTTCAGGTTATAGAGGGAACTGAGGGAAAAAGAGAAAAACACATTTAAGTGCATAAGTAATGATTGATAATCATGCAAATTCAAATTCATAGAATATCTTATAACTAAGTGCTTGAGGGCATCTCACAGCCACTCATTAGTTTAGCTATTTTTCACAAACTTGAAATTAAGAGTTGGGGATATTTGCTCACTCTTTATGGATGGATACATTTAGACAAATAGAAGCTAAATATTTCAAGATGATCACTCATTCAGTTAATAGATTTTATATATCTCACGTAATTTTAGGATAAAACCCAAATACTTTGGTCATTTGGATTTATGTGAACAGAACTAAGCCACCCTGCTTTTCAAAAATGTCTACTAGTTGTAAGTACAACTGGCCTCAGCCATATGTTAGGTGGGGTCCATGCTTTCTTCTTTCAAGGGTTCTTTAACAAAGGGTGTGTCTATGGAAGTTAGCCTTAGAACAAATTTTGTCAAACATATAGTTATTTACCAGCAGAGAGGCACAAAATGGGGGTCATATCAGTTACTCTTATTGTTAGAAGATGTTCCCTTCTGTCTTCAGGCACTTCAATTAGAAATTTCAATGAAAAGTTCACTCTGAGCTATCCTTAACATGTCGCAGCAGCAAGAAGAGCCAGTCATGAAACAGGTTTGAGTGAAAGAGCCCTCCGTAAATTGGAGGGACACACGACCAGCAAGCTCCATACCTTGCATGTTGTTCCTCAAGATTAGGCTGCCATATTTACTCAATATCCTATATCTTGTTTATACAAGGGAGGTAGAGCCTATTTAGTGTTTATACTCAATGACCTGTGTTTAATACTCCTCATTCTACTAGTAAAAAATTACCTCTACCGTGTCTTATGATAATACTTAAGTACTTAAATATAGATTTAGATGACTATATTAGGAGAATAAACTTCTTTCTCTGGAATATACAATATATCCAAATGCTAGCAAACATTCCCATAGGTTGAGATCGTAATTAACTTACACACACAGAAGACATCCTACTTACACTGAAGCCTTTTAAAGGTAAAATTAGCACAGAGGCAATAAAACTTAAATCAAATGGGCCAGTCTTTGTGGCCAAAGTAATCATATACAAAACTCAGTAACTATGACTGACTCTTTAAAACTCCAACCAACTGAAAAATCAGAGTGGTTAATTTCCACATTCAAGAATGCCATTCAAACAAGATCATCTGTTCTGTTTCCTAAGTAATGTTTGACCATCTAAGATCAATTGCACAGAACCTATTTCATCTGTAGTATACTGATATTTCTAAAATTAAATGTTTCTTTTTAAGTGTTGTCAAATAATAACACTGCCAGTGACTTTAACAGGTCTTTGAAAGAACCCAGGAAATTGGACCCATTATTTTTACCTTTCTCTGCCTTCCAAAGAACTTGCATTCCTGTCAGTATTATTTCCCAAAATAAATAAGCCCACAAGAAATACCTTATTAACTGTCTTTCACTTCCAATGCCTTCAGGCAGCAAAGATTTAACTGCCTCCTTCTGTATCTTTCAAGAGAGTAAATGAATGTTTCCAGAAATATCAAGGAAGAAGGAAAAAATTGTCCTAAAAATTTTAAGTGATATTATCTGTGGTGTACAAGTGAACATAATAGTATCAAATAGGTATAAAGGTAAAATACGGGATTTAGTTGAATAAATGTTTGTACCTTAAAAAGTACAAAATAACTGTCAAAAAGTTTTAATGTCTGCATTTGTTTCATTACATAAAAATTTGCAAGAAAACTCTTACTAAACAACACAAATCTATACGTCTGATATTTATATTTATTTTATTAAATATACAATTATATATAATGTATCATAACTACATATTATATATAATACATACATATTAAATATATAATTATAGTATAAAGAACCATCACCACTCAATAATAAGAAAATAAAATATCAATTAAAAATGGGCAAAGGATCTGAAGAGACACTTCACTAAAGAAAATACATGAATGACAAGCCCATGAAAAGATACTCAACATCATTAGTCATCATGGAACTGCGGAGATGTTTGAATCACAAAGTTGTCCCCAGAGTGTAGAGATGATAACCCAGCCCAACTTTCCATTTTATTCAGTACACTCAATAATGCAAGTGGAGGACATGAAGCAAAGGAAATGAAGGAACAACTATATCTGTTTGGCTCTAGATGTGTGTGCTGGGATCTCCTCTATGAGCTTCAGCCACAGAAATGTTAAATAAATTATACACAGCATTGTGGATAGAAGACAGTACCTTGTCCCCACTTCCCATTTGGCCTCTGGCAGAGGAGGAGCCCACTGTGTAGGAGACATCACAATACTAGGCTGCTCAGCCCAGCTAGTGTGGTCAGAAGAAGAGAGTCAAATTGACACTCCTAAACCTTCCTCCTAAAAAGAACACTAAGATTTGTTTAACAGTCTTCCAAGAAGATCAGAGTGGTAAGATAAAGTGGAAAGAGGTGAACCCCACGCAGAGGACCATCTGGTCACAGGGCTGAGCTAAAGCCATGGCAGATACTGAAGAGTCAGCTAGCAGTGAGATCTGTAGGGATGTGAGTCAGCAGGGGAAACATGACACCCACATACTCCAGGACTATTGGCTTAGCTGACAGACTGCTCCCTGGTCCTGTCAACTGAGAATGATAGCATTATATGCTAGCAGAGAAGTTCTCTATCAGGCAGATAAAAAAGACACTGTCTTAGAAAGTAAAAGATGCTACTTAAGGACCAACAATGGACCAGAGGCCTCCATGACCTCAGCCAGAACTTTGAGTAGCCCTTACGTCTCTATTGTGTACCGGGATGTCATTTTAGTGTAAGAAACAGAGGAAAAAAGACAATTTCGGTGTTATTTATATTTTCTCTTGGTCAGTATGCTGAAGGTTACAAAAAAGACAAAATCAGCATCATAACAAAGGAGGTGTATATTAGTATCAAATTAAATTTCTCTGCATAACTGAATTGTGCTGGTACCAAAATTTATAGCTCTGCTATGCATCAAATGGGATGTATAGCACAAAGGCAGTAGTATGGATGAAATTACAATGGATGAGGCTGTAAAGTGAGAAGTATAAAGACCAAAAAGGAAAGACATTGCAATCCCAGTTTATAACGTATAAGTATGCAAAGAAAACTGGGAGTCAGAGAGTAAAAGGGAAAATGAAGAGAAAATGGCTCTCATTTAGGTAGAATTTTCAGGAAATAGATGAGGTCCTATAGTGTCAAATGCTGTAGAGAAATAAGCTGGCCTTCTTATTTGACAAATGGAAAGTCACAAGTAAGCTTAGCAAGATTTTCAGAAGAATTGGAAACTGGTGAAAAAAGGTAGTTTTGCAGATGGCCAAATAACACATAGGCAATTGAGAAAAACTCTTTAAAAAATTGACGATGAAGAAAATAGGCATTAGCTTTTGGGGAAGGGGAAAGAAAAGCCATCAGAGAATGCAAATATATGATAGAATGGAAAGAGAATATTGAGTCATCAATGCTCCAATGGTACAAGAAAGATCCAGGGTCAAAGTAGTTCTGGGTATGCAGAACAAACAAAACAAGAGTACATACTATCTGAGGCCATTTGAATAAAATTAAAAAGCAAGCAGAGAAAGTCTGTACTATCAGATGCCAAGATAATGATTACCCTTGGCAGAGGGGTAGTAACTGGAACAAAGCATGAGGATATCTGAAATATTGGTAAGGTTATGCTTCTTACTCTTCGTGCTAGTTATATAGGGGTGTTTAGTTTATGAAAACCTTTTGAGCTGTACAGGTATAAGATTTCTAACCTTTTCTGTGTGTATGTTACATTTCAATTAAAAGAAGACTCTATGGATATTAAGAATTAGTACCATAATTAAATAGATTGGGCAAACATATAGAGAAAGTCAGAGGTAAATTGGATATGACCTTGAGAAAGATTTTGTTTATAGCTTTCATTTGCAGAGAAGGAGCAGAGGAGGCAAGCCATCTGTTAAACCTTAGAAGGCAGATGGAAAGATGAACGCCAGAGTGGAGAAGGGGAGAACTGCTGAGTGGATGAATGAAAGTTAATGGGTTATCTGGCAGCAATGAGAGCTCAACTACATTTAATGAATTAATAAATTGATCTTACCTCTTTCCACATAAAATTTTGTACACAAAATAAATTCTGTATATGGAAATTAGAAAACCAAGATCATAAAACGGCTTATATAATTGCAGTATTTTATTTGAGAATTTGGCTATGAGCTCCTGATGACTTAAATGAAAAGCTTTAAAATGGTCATTTCCATGATCTTACTCTTCACCAAGAGAAAACATACAAGTTTCTCATGGGAAGCTATTTCATGGTAGCTCATTCTAACAGATATTTCTCACTTAAGGATTTATATAGATACGCAAAAGTGAAATAATAAACATAACCTCAAATGTATCCTTAAAACATATATTATTGTAGTCTTCATAAGGTTGTTTTTAGAAGCATTTACCCATGAGAACTGAGGACAGTTTGCCAAAGCCCAATAAAAATAGTGAATAAAATTTATGTAAGATGATCTATTTGTAAATACTCAGACTTCTATTGGTCCATGCTACTCTAGGGATAGAAATTTGAATATCTAGAACAATGTGTGGACTCATGTTCTACAGACCTCTAGGAATTTTATAAATCAAGAAGCAATATATTTGTGATTTGAAGTATAGAAAGCCTTTAATTTACAATTCATCTGTGTATTTGAAGGCCAACAAACAGATGACAATATTCTCAAATATTTTCAGAAGTGTCAAATAATCTAAAATACTCTACTTAAATAATGATTACTTTTTTCCCATCTTAGTTATAGGGCTCAGAATACTTATAAGGCAAGCCAGGATTCAAAAATAAATCTGGATCTTATCTAGCCCTACCTGATTTTGAATAACACAAATTTTTAATATACCTAGTTGGAAGTACGATGCTTTATTTTTCCTAAAAGAAAAAAAAATCATCATCTGGAAGGACTAGGTGAAAGGAAACATATCCAAACTTACTTGGTGTGGAAGAAGCTGGACACATACTAGAGTCATGCAAGTGAAAGAACATGGAGGTGCTGGTATGAATGTAGCTGAAATGATCAGCTATGTGGGCCAGCTTAGATAGTGATGGGTGTAAAAGCTGAAGAGACTGAGAGCCCTAAAGAGCCCTGAATAGAGAGGAAATTGATAGGCTTACTGGTGGCACATCAATGGAAGGAAGCAGACTAAGCATTCAGGCACAAACCAGATGTGTAGATCTTTTGGTACATCTACAAAGATGCCTTGTAGTACGGCTAAGAGGTCACAGCATGTTAATTTAACAATTTATTTGATGTTCATTATTTTCAAAATATGGTTCAGAATCAGGAAATCAAAATGGCTTGCTTTAGACAAAGTTTAAACATCTGAATTGGGATTTTCTGGATTATGACTGCAAAACAGAAGCTTGGTCCCTAAGGTATAGAGCCAACCACTACAGAGACACTGTAGAGAGCTTCATCAAATTATATAATACAAAACAAGTAATAATTTGTTAAATATCCTTTGAATATTCAATAGACATTTCAAAGCTTTACATGGTCAAAATCCTGATCTACGTGGTGCCTTCTCAACCTAGATTTTTCATTTTTAAAATTATTCTGTCTTGCTTCTTAAAAAATTATGTATCTCCACTACCACTGTAACACTTTCAGTGCCTACTTGTGGCAGGATTATACTTTCCCATGCCACATAGCTTGGCTATGTGATGTGCTTTGACCAATAAAATGAAATCATAATTAGGAAATTAACTCAATAGAGTATTACCATCTAATCATCAAACTCCATTTATGTTTCTCCAATCGTCCTCATTATATCTTTTATAAGCATAAGTTGCAGTTCAGAATCAAGCATTGCATTGACCCAACATGTCCCCTTAGTCTCCTTCAGTCCAGAGCAGTTATTCTTCCCTTGACTTCCTTGATCCTCATCCTTCTGAGGAATATTCATGAGTAGTTTTGAAAAATGTTTCTTAATTTGGGTATATATGATATTTCTTCAGGATCTGATTTAAGATATTCACCTCTGGCAGGAATATCACAGAAGTGATGCTGTGCTGTTCTCATTGCATTCTGTCAGGTGCATAGTACTTAAATTTAGTCCCATTAATGATGATGTTCACTTTGTCACTTGATTAACATAATGTCTACCAATCTTTTACACTGTTTTTTCTTTTGAAATTATTAATTTCTGGTGGGTAAAACACCTTGACACTAAATAAATATCCTGTTCCTCATCAAGAGGAAAATTTCTTCTTTTATTTTTTTATTTATAAATATGTGACCTCAAGGTTTCCTAGTGTATGCAGTGAGTTATAATCTATTACTATCATTACATATTTTGATGCTAAAATTAACCTTTGGTTTAAGTAGAGCTAGTCCATTCAAGCTAGCTTCTCTGTCCTTCTGCTGTAGTGTCATAATTCTTTTAGCATTTTCTTGCTGTCTGACATAACGAGATATTTCTGGCTCATCTTGTACTTTCCCTGCCTCGCTCCTGGAATTGGCCATGTCTTTAAGAATTCTTGCTTCCTTTTAGTGAAGAATGCTATACAGAACCAAGCTCTAGGTGCCAGGTGTGCTCATTGATATTGCGTGTTGTCACTCCTAGGCCCTTCAAGTAGATAAAGCTAGGAAATATATGTATGTACATATATGAATATATGTATGTGTACACATATTTACATCTATATTGGCTTTTATATATTCATATTTGTGAAAACCATGACTTTACATTAATTCTTCCAATTACAATCCACCACTACAGGGTTCATTCTGTTTCTCTCCCTTTTTATATTTGAATTCTCTTTTCTGACAGTGAGAACCCCGGTTTATATTTATGATATTTACTAATATTCTTTTAACTCTTTATCATATTTACTAATTTTATCAGTTCCTTTGTAAGGAACAAATCTTCCATCTTCATTACCACCTATTCCTTCATATAAATGCCCTCCTTATTCCAACACTCATGCCAGAATTCCCTTGTGTAGACCCATACCTCACTACATTTGGAGTCTGACCTTTTGTATTTGGCTACCCCAATGTAAGAACACTTACCTCATCCTATTTAGACTTTATCACTCCATTGCATGATGCACAGATATCAAATGCACCATTGTAAGCCTCTGACACCATATGAAAACTACCTCTTCAAGGAGATGCCCTTATGAACCCACAGACTTCAACACTTCATAGGAAGCTATGTGTCGGCATGGATTTCCTTCTCACTCTGTTTGAGTTCTGACACCTCGTGCTGAACCTTCCCAACCTATGAAAGCCCTCCTCTTTCCCCTTGGGCTCTGCCACACCACACAAAGCCAGCCCTGTCACAGTGACACCATTCTCATACCACTGGGGAGTCCCCTTGTGTTTTTCCCTTTTTGATCTGCTAGTGCTCTCGCACCACAAGTGAGGTCACTCCCATTTGTGAACATCTTCCTCAATACTTTGTTCTTGGAAGCCTCACACTGTGGAGTCCTCCTATGCAAACATTTTGTTCACCTTTCTTGGGCTTTGCTTGCTTCTTTCAGCCTTTGACAGCCTCTATTAGGGAGCATTCCTAAGTAGTGTCCACCATGCTTGGGCTCAGACACTCTGCTCTGGGCGACCGTAGTTCTTGTCTCTCTCCTCTACCCATGTAGATGTCTACCTTGCTCTGTCTTCCATGATGCCTTTAGGAATGAAATATTAGGAAAGGGAAGAGAAATAAAGAGAAAGGAAGCAAGAAAATAGAAAGAGAAAGAGGTGGAAGAAAGAGAGCTCCAATGCATTTTAAAGTATTCATAAATATTTTCCCATTCAAGAATATTTTATAGTATTGTTACTATTTACCAAACCATGAGTTAAAATAATGACAAGTTATAGCCAGATTTTTTAAAAAATATAGAATAATAACAATGAACAGAAAATATTAAATAGTTAATTATGGTTTCACGAAAAAAACATACAGGTAAATCTATCTGTCCACCCATCCATGTGTTTATAACATGGGTCACAGGGTATTTTCAGTAGAATATGGTCCAAAAGGGCATAAAATATTGAAAAATAAAATATCTGAACTATTGCATAATATAATTTCCTGATTACTTTACATAATGTGTTCCATATGAAGTAAACTGATAGGTATTATTAATTAAATTTTAAGGAGCTTATGGGAGATATGAGAAATAAGAACGCATAATCATTAGAAATCATGATGGGTTTTAGGAGCTTTGAGATATGATAAAGAGACAGAGGAGTATCTGAATCCTGTCCTTGAAGAAGTATAAAAACGAGAAACATGGTTTTTTTTTGTTTGTTTGTTTTGTTTTAAAAGTAACGTGGTCATTAACTAGGATTGTGCCCAAGTCCAAAGCAGAGAATTCTGGTAAGGTGATTGGTCAGCCATACAGGCAGACTGCTCAGATATCCCTTTCAGAAAGAACTTAATAATTAGCTGCAAGGGATGCAGCTGGTTCAGAGCTTCCAGCTGCAGTGCCTCAGGGTCTGCTGCACCACTGGAACCAAGGCCACTCTTTCCCTAGGAAGCTTCCAACAAATGACAAAGTACAGTGATGGCACTCCGGCATGGCCATTTTTGCCTATTTGCAGGATTCTTCTATGGACAATATTTGTGCCAGATCTCACTGGGCTGGCTGAGCCTTTCCCGGAACTGCTATATGGTCTGAGATTTTTCCAACTGATGCTCTTTTCTCCCCCTTCTCCTTTCAACATCCAAATATAAATGCTTTTCTTGTCAGTACTGTTCCTTTTCCTCTTTATCTGTTACTGAAACTACCCCCAATAAATCTTATGCACTTTTTACTCCGGTTCTCAGAGGATTCAATCAATATACCTAGTCTAGATTATGCTGCCAATTATAGACTCAAGCAGCCCCTTTCCTCCCTTCTAAGTTCAGCGTTTTTTCTTGGCATCTTGCCATTCTCCATGGACAGAAGAGAGAATATTCTCTGTCTTTTATCAAGGAACAGGCCCTAAGCAGCTAGCCACTCCTGTAACAAGGTGGGAGAGAAAGAACAAGAAAGCTGCATTCTGGTTTTCTCCATGCAATAAGAGGCTCTGGCCACTTTCCTGCTCTGGCCATCTAAAAACAAGAAGCAAAAACCAGAGCCAGGCCCAATATATAGCCACTGAGGGCAAAATAACTTTGATCATTCTAAAGGACCTGGAATTTGACTAAACGATTTACTTATTTCTCTTTCAGGGCTCTGATGTCACAAAAAGTTTTACCTCCTCTCAGATACTAAAAGAGGAAAACAAATTGCAGAACTTGAAGAGACTCCAAAGGCTCTTAGTTGTAAGAGTCAGATCCATGCCATCTTGATGAATAAGTAATTATATTCTGCATGTAACAGAAATAATATGATTAGGATTTACTACAGTATACTTTAATAAAGGCAAACATGTCATCTAAACTGTCTGAACATACCTCTGTGGGAAAAATTGAGGAAAGATGATGTAAATCATTTTTCTTATCAAATTGTAAAAGTGCTTCTAAATGCACATTGGTAACTATAGTAGGGGAAATTTTATTCCTAAAATTACTAATTATCTCTCTCAAAATGAGTTTGCCTTTAAAGGGTAAATACACTTGTTTTCAACACCAAACTTTAGTACATTGAATTATATGGTTGCCTGCCTTTATAATAGAGTGGAGTCCAGAAGGATTAAAAAAATACAATTACTTTTTGAACAGTTGTAACTTTATGAATGGAAAATGGCAATGACTGTCTTAAAGATATTTAATACAAATGTTTTGTAAGTAATCATCATCTGCTTGTTTGTAGTTTATGCAAACCTGGATGTTAAGTTATTTGATTTAGTAAAGTAAGGTATTTGCATTGTCATGAAATTTCATAAGTTTGACTTCCTTTTGCAGATTCAACTCTAGTCATTCAAAGCAAGCCAAAGACAGACTGAAGTAAGCCGTAGCATTATTCATCATGTGCCACTGTGAACAATGCTGCTGTGTAGCTTCAAGTGTTTTTAAGTTCTTCAAAATTATTTCTTGGTCAAATGAGAACCTCTAATCACAGATAAATGCATAGCACCTCATCTGTCTTACTTGAGCAAATATGACATTTAAAAATCATTTCCCAAATCATATGCCACACATCTTCCTCTCTCTTCAAAGCAGGTCAGAAAAATGTTAATCCTGAGATAAAGTTATACTTAATCAAAGAAAGATTTTCTTCTTCCTCTGGTTGTAGTTTGTGCATTTATTGAGAAAAAGAACATAGGCAAGATATGAAGTAGGTGCTGAATCATAAATGAATACATTGATTAGAAAACAAATAATTTAGGAAGTATATTCTTTGGATTGTCTTTATACTTTAATTGCAATGTTGACTATAGACTGAGGTTTTGTTATTGTCTGATGCTTTAATATGTTTCAAATTTAATGGTTATGGTCAAGCACATACAATCAGGTCCAAAGATTGATTACTAGATCGATAATATGGTTGCAGGACGCAGTACATTCCAGCACCAATATCACATTCAGACTCTTCAGGATAATACAGCTTGCTTTATATAGATACATAAATGCAGTGCAGTGGAAGTAGAACAGAAGAAATTTCTCAGGTGTCTCAGAAAGTCATGCTACCCAGCGCTAAAACCAGCTATATGAGATGGGTCATCCTGCAATTACTCAACTAAAAATGAAAATAAAATGCACTAGGTATAACACAATGCTCTCTCATACCTTCTTGTTTCTGCGCATCTTATTTTCTCTTCAAAAAAATAGATAATTTCCATCTTGATTTCATTGTTAACCTAAAAATCATTCAAGGGCACATTATATAATTTTCATGTGTTTGTGTACTATTGAGGGTTGTTTTTGGAGTTGATTTCCAGTTTTATTCCACTGTGGTCTGAGATACTTGATATAATTTTGATTTTCTTAAATTTATTGAGACTGATTTTGTGGCCTATGATATGATCTATCTTGGAGAATATTCCATGTGCTGATAAGAATGTGTATTCTGCAGTTGTTGGAAAGAATGTTTTGTAAATATCTATCAAGTCTATTTGTTGTAGAGTACACTTCAAGTCCATTGCTTCTTTGTTGACTTCCTGTTTTGATTATCTGTCTAGTGCTGTCAGTGGAGTATTGAAGGTATCCACTACTATTGTGTCACTGTCTACCTCATCTCTTAGGTATAGTAGTAATCATTTTATAAATCTGGGAGCTCCAGTGTTAGATGTAAATAAATTTAGGATTGTAATATCTTCTTGTTGGACTAATCCTTATATCATTATACAATGTCTTTCTTTATCTTTTTTTAAACTGTTGTTGCTTTAAAGTCTGTTTTGTCTTAGAATAGCTACTTCTGTTTGCTTTTCCATTTGCATGGAATATAGTTACAAAACTTATCAAAACCTCTGGGATACAGAAAAAGCAGTGCTAAGAGGAAAGTTCATAGCATTAAATGCCGACATCAAAAAGTATGAAAGAGCACAAATTGACAACATAATGTCACACCTCAAGAAACTAGAAAAGGAAGAACAAACTAAACTCAAACCCAACAGAAGAAAAGAAATAACAGAGATCAGAATAGAACTAAGCAAAATTGAAATTAAAAAATACAAAAGATAAATGAAACAAAAAGCTGGTTCTTTGGAAAAGACAAACAAAATTTATAGACCATTCATGAGATTAACAAAGAAAAGAAGAGAGAAGATCCAAATAAGCTCAATTAGAAACAAAACTGGAGATATTACAACTGACACCACAGAAATACAACAGATCATTTGAGGCTACTAGTAACACCTTTACATGAACAAACTAAAACATCTAGAGGAAATGGATAAATTTCTGGAAACATACAACCCTCCTAGATTAAAACAGGAAGAATTATCATCCCTGAACAGACTAATAACAAACAGCAAGATTGAATCAGTAATAATAATAATAATAATAAAGTAAACAAAAAAAGCTTAGGACCAGATGTATTCACAGCTGAATTCTACCAGGCATTCAGGAAAAATTGGTACCAGTCACACTGAAACTATTCCAAAATATAGAGACAGAGAGAATCCTCCCTAAATAATTCTACGAAGCCAGTATCACCTTAATAACAAAACCAGGAAAGGACATATGAAAAAGGAAAACTACAGACCAATATCCCTGATGAACATAGATGCAAAAATTCTCAACAAAATGCCAACTGAATCCAATAACACATCAAAAAGATAATACATTATGATCAAATTGGTTTTATCCCAGGGATGCATGGATAGTTCAACTTAAGCAGGTCAATAAATGTGATACATCACAGAGATAGAATGAAAAACAAAAGCTATATGATCATTTCATTAGATACAGAAAAAGCATTTGATGAAATCCAGCATCCCTTTGTGATAAAACCCTCAACAACATAGGCATAGAAGGAACTTACCTCAAGTTAATAAAAGCCATATATGACGAACCCACAGCCAACATCATACTGAATGTAGAAAAGTTGAAAACATTCCCCCTAAGAACTGGTACAAGACAAGGATGCTCATGTCCACCCCTTCTAATCAATACAGTTTTGGAAGTCCTAGCAAGAGCAATTAGATAAGAGAAAAAAATAAAAATTATCCACATGAAAAGGAATGAGATCATGTCCTTTGCAGGGACATGGATAAAGCTGGAAGACATCATCCTCAGCAAACTTACACAGGAACAGAAAACCAAACACTGCATATTCTCACTCATAAGTGGGAGTTGAACAGTGAGATTACATGGACACAGGGAGGGGAACGACACACACCTGGACCAGTCGGGGGGTGAGAAGTGAGGGGAGGGAGAGCATTAGGACAAACAGTTCATGCATTTGGGGCTTAAAACCTAGATGACAGGTCGATAGGTGCAGCAAACCACTGTGGCACATGTATGCCTGTGTAACAAAACCACACATTCTGCACTATATCCTGAAACTTAAAGTAAAATTAAAAAAAAAGAAAGAAAGGAAGGGCAACCGAACTGGAAAAGAGGAAGTCAAACTGTCGCTGTTTGCCAGTGATGATTGTATACCTGAAAACTCTAAAGATTCATCCAAAAAGCTCCTTTTTTTTGATAAACTAATTCAGTAATGTTTCGGGTTATTAGATCAATGTACAAAAAATGCTAGCATTGCTATACACCAACATTGACCAAGCTGAGAATGAAATTGAGAACTCAATCCCTTTTACAACAGCTGGAAAATAAAATCAAATAAAATACCTAGGAATATATACTTAACCAAGGAAGGGAAGGATCTCTACAAAGAGAACTGTAAAACATTGCTGAAAGAAACCATGGATGACACAAACAAATGGAAACACATCTCATGCTCATTAATGATAAGAATCAGTATTGTGAAAATGACCATATTGCCAAAAGCAATCTATAAATTCAAAGCAATTCCCATCAAAATGCCACCATCATTCTTCACAGAACTAGAAAAAAATTCTAAAATTCATGTGGAACCAAAAAAGAACCTACATAGCTAAAGCAATACTAACCCAAAATAAGAAATCTGGAGGCATTGCATTTCCCAACTTCAACTTATACTACAAGGCTATAATTACCAAAACAACATGGTACTGGTATAAAAATGGGCATGTAGACCAATGGAACAGAATAGAGAGCCAAATACTTACAGTCAACAGACATTTGACAAAGCAAACAAAAACATAAATTGGGAAAAGGACACCCTACTCAACAAATGGTGCTGGGAAGACTGGCAAGCCAGATGTAGAAGTATGAAACTGGATCCCTATCTCTCACCTTATACAAAAATCAACTCAATATAGATCAAAGATTTAAATATAAGACTTGACACTATGCAAATTCTAGAAGATAACATGGGAAAAAACTCTTCAGGACATTGGCTTAGGCAAAGAATTCATTAATATTACCCCAAAAGTAAATGCAACAAAACAAAAGTAAACTAATAGGACCTAATTAAACTAAAAAGCTAAAGAAATAATCAGCAGAGTAAACAGACAACCCACAAAGTGGGAGAAAATATTCATAAACTATGCATCCAATAAATGACTAATATCCAGAATCTACAAGGAACTCAAAGAAATCTGTGAGCAAGAAAGAAATAATCCCATCAAAATTAGGCAAAGAACATGAATAGATATTTCTCAAAAGAAGATACACAAACAACCAACAAACATGAAAAAATGCTCAACATCATGAATCATCAGGGAAATGCAAATTAAAACCACAGTGAGATACCACCTTACTCTTGCAGGAATGGCCATTATCAAAACGTCAAAAAACAACAGATGTTGGTGTGGATGTAGTGAAAAGGGAACACTTTTATACTGTTGGTGGGAATGTAAATTAACAACTACTATGGAAACAGTTTAGAGTTTTGTAAAGAACTAAAAGTAGAACTACCACTTGATCCAGCAATCCCAATACTGGGTATCTACCCAAAGGAAAAGAAATCATTATATGAAAAAGACACATGTATATGCATGTTTATAGCAGCGCAGTTCACAATTGCAAAGATATGGACCAACTTAAGTGCCCATCAACCAATGAGTGGATAGAGAAAATGTGGTATATATACTGCATGGAACACTACTCAGCTATTAAAAAGGAATGAAATAATGTCTTTTGCAATAAATTGGATGGAGCTAGAGGCCATTATTCTAAGTGAAGTAACTCAGGAGTGAAAATGCAAATATTGTATATTCTCACTTGTAAGCAGGAGTTAAGCTATGAGGATGCAAAAGCATAAGAATGATACAATGGGCTTTGGGGACTCAGACAGGAAGGCTGGGAGTGGGGTGAGGATAAGACACTACATATTGGGTACAGGGTACACTGCTTACATGACAGGTGCACTAAAATCTCCTAAATCACCACTAAACAGCTTATCTATGTAACTGAAAACCACCTGTACCCCCAAAACTATTGAAATAAAAAACACTTGCATTATAAAAAATATTGCCTTATTTAAGGGATGTTGTGATGAATTAGTAAGAAAATATATGTGAAATTATTATTTAAGGAATCTGGCCATAGTAAGTATTCAATAAAAGAGAGTCTCCAACCACCTTCCTTCCCTTCACTCTCTTTTCCATAAATTAACCAGAGATAAAAGTGGCAGAATTAGATTTCAATCCTGCAATAGTGCACCTGACGTGCTTCCTCACATTTCATATTTATCTTTCAGATTGCTTGTTGTATGCACATTTTCTGTTAGTACAAATTGGAGGGATTATCATGACCTTCATTTGTTGACAGAGACATGAACAGGCAGAACACAGTGATGAATATCTCAATTCAGGCAGGAATTCAACGTTGCCTGTGGCATAGGCTGGCTCTGCCACCTGCATTGATGATAATCATTTATGGAAATTAACCCATCTTCAACCATTTGATGACTTCATTTGATAGTCATCAAAACGGAAACAAGTGCTTGTTCATTGAAAATCACCTTCAAATGGGAAGGATGAAGGTCTAGCACAGTATATATGGTGTATCCACATTTATAACCATGCTAAATTTGCACTATTCTAACTCTGCCACTTGGAAAATGTTTTAAGATATTGTGTTGCATGAATGGGTTTGTGTATGTATTATTTGTTTATTGAATAAGAGCTGAACAGAAGCTAATGGCTTTAACTAAATATATTGATTACCAAAAAAGGCAGGCAGTGTGTGTGTGTGTGTGTGTGTGTGTGTGTATACCTGGGTGTATATATACATGTATATGCATGTATACACACACACACACACAACTTTTATTCTTCTTGTGACAACCTTAGTGTGCTAGGCAGATTCCTTTCAGTGATAAAATATGTAAACTAGAATAAATGAGGCTTGTGTGTGTTGGGGAGGGAGATCTCATCTCTTATAACAAGTAATAGAAAACTCAAGATACTAAGTGACCCCAGAGACTTCATAAACTCAAATAATACCATCAGGTGTTTCTATCTCTTTCTTCTGCCTTCCATTCCTCCTTCTCTTTCTTAATTTCTTAGATATATTTCCTTCTAGGTGTTCTCTTTATGCTTTAAAACAAACATATGGGCTTTCTTCATGTAGTTTTGTTGAAGACAAATGGAGGTACAGATAGCAGAAGACATGTGACAGCCAAGTTTAGCAGTCCCAGAGAAAATATAACATTTCCCTCTCAGCACCTACATAGACAATTCCACAGAAGGCTTCTGTTTGACTTGATATGATTCACGGGACTATTCCTGGTTCAGTCACTGGGAGCAGAAGAAAAGAATCGTTAATTACACAAATGATCCCCTGTCATGAAGGAGTCAAAGCCTGCAGTGAGGAAGGACAGTTTCTCCAAATAAAGGTGTAGGCTATTACCAAAAGTAAGGACGAATATAAAAGCAAGCATCTATAATTACATCCCTCCCATTAGTTTCCCACTCTTCTTTCAATTCACAGAATTTCACAAATGACCTTTCCTTAGATTAGAAAAAATATACACACACACAAAAATCAATCCACTCTCCTCTCCACTGTAGCCACCGTAGCATACCCAGGATGTCTTAGAGATAGAGTTTTCATGATTTAAGATCCAGATAGTCAGTATACTACAATCAATTTATCCACTCCTGATATCTGCAACAATTTGTGGTGAAAAAAGTACAGAATATCTTCAATAAATTGCTTGCTGTGCTATTGGACAGGCATATAAGGAAACAATTGCATTAATGCCAGTCTTCCTAGAGGTCATAGGTTTTGCCCCCTAGTAGGTTCTACTTTATCCATTGTCCTTTGTGTTTGGCCCTAAAAGGAATGTTGGAAGAGATTCCTCTGCTGAGGTCTGTCCAGTCTTAGCATGCAATGCATATTTGAGTGTATTCTAGAGCCTGAGGATTGACTTAGAATTAAAGTGTGAAAGACTTCTAATTGCCAGAATGGATTTCTCTATGATTTGCTTTGGCCAACTCAAAATAAGTGGATGTGACACGTGTCACTTATGAATGACGGTGCATAATTCCTCATTATCACTTCCTACTGCATTTTGAGATGAAGTCTTCATTGCTGTGCACTATTGTTGGGAGCGCAGCTTTCTGGTGTTTCATGTTCTACTTGTATTGTTGTCAACAAATGAGCTTTTATTTAATAAACCTCTGATATGTGGTAGATTTCTTATGACATAACATACAGTAGTCTAATCAATACAAAACTGCTGCTCTCAAAAAAGAAGGGGGCAGTGTTTAGATAACAAACTAAAACATATCCATAAAAAATAATTGATGAATTGGACTTCATTGAGCATTAAAACTTCTGCTCTTTAGTAGACATTGTTAGGAAAATTAAAAGACAAGCCACAGACAAGAAGAAAATATTTGCAATTCATGTATTTGATAAAGGGCTTGTATCCAAAATATATAGACAACACTTAAAACTCAGTTATAAAAACATAATCAACAAAGGGCTAGTTATTTGAACTTATATTTGATGAAGAAAGATATATCAATAGCAAGTAAGCACATAAAATGATACTCAGTATTTTATTCATTAGGAAAAATTCAAATTTTACTTATAAGTATATATAACTAAGAGAAATAAAAGCAAATGTCCATTAAAAGACTTACACATGAATGTTCTTAGCAATTCTATAAACATTTTTTCATCAGTAAGTGAATACATTAATTATAATATTTCTTTGCAATGGAATATCACTCAGCAATTAGGCAATTAGAAGGGAAGACTATTAATAACTGCAATAACATGCATGAATCTCAAAATAATTATGCCAAGTGAAAGGTGCCATACAAAGAAGTACTACATACTGTGTGATTCCATTTATCTAAAATTCTAAAAAGTATTATAATGACATAAAATAGTGTTGTGGATGCTTGAGGATTGGAGTGGGGGCAAGCATAGATAAGAGAATGAGATTACAAAAAGGCATGAGAAGACAGTTGAATAACATATATGTTCATTATCTTGATTATGGTGATGCTTTTATGGATGTACACATATGTCAAAACATCAAATTGTCTACTTTAAACATGTGCTACTTTTTGTCAATTACAATTCAATAAAGCTGTTAAAATTTTCATGCAACTCTATACATTTTTGAGTGACTTTTACTGAATGTAAATTACACATCTGAAAAGTAGAACACAAACCTTTTTACAATAGCTGCAAAAATTACAATAAAATACTTAAGAATATACCTAACCAAGCAGGTGAAAGACCTCTGTAAGGAAAACAACAAAACCCTGTTGAAAGCAACCACAGATGATACAAACAAATGGAAACATAGCCCAAGCTCATGAAGGGGTAGAATCAATACTGTGAAAATGATCATATTGCTGAAAGCAATCTACAAATTCAATGCAATTGCCATCAAAATACTACCATTACTCTTCATAGAACTAGAAAAGCAATCCAAAAATTCATAGGAACCAAAAAAGAGCCTGCATAGCCAAACCAAGACTAAGCAAATAGAACAAATATGAAGGCATCACATTACCTGACTTCAAACTATAGCATAAGGCCATAATTACCCAAACAGCATGGTACTGGTAAAAAAATAGGCACATAGACCAATGGAGCAGAGTAGAGGATCCAGAAATAAAGCCAAATACTAAGGGTCAACTGATTTTTGCCAAAGCAAACAAAAACATAAAGTTGGGAGAGGACACCCTATTCAACAAATGGTGCTGGGATAATTGGCAAGCCACGTATAGAAGAATGAAACTGGATCCTCATCTCTCACCTTATACAAAAAACAACTCAAGATGCATCAAAGTCTTAAGTCTAATACCTGAATTCTAAAATTTCTAAAATTCTAAACCACCATCTGGTTGGTGGTTTAAATGTTTATGCATCATTTGGTATATATATGTAAATAGTTTTGGGATTTTTCTAACTAAAGGTAGAAAAATTGGCATGAAGAAGCATGAATGTTATAATGTGTTTCAAAATTCACCAGAGCTTCTAGAATTCTAAAAATTTTAGAAGACAACAGTGGAAAAACCCTTCTAGACATTGGCTTAGGCAAAGACTTTATGACCAAGAACCCAAAGCAAATGCAACAAAAACAAATAGATGGGACTTAAACTAAAAAGGTTCTTCACAGCAAAAGAAACAATCAGCAGAGTAAACAGACAACCCACAGAGTGGGAGAAAATCTTCACAACCTCTACCTCCAACAAAGACTAATATCTGGAATCTACAAGGAACTCAAACAAATTAATAAGAAAAAAAAATCGTCAAAAAGTGGCCTAAGGACTGAATACACAATTCTCAAAGGAAGATATACAAATGGCCAAAAAACATATGAAAACATGCTCAACATTGCTAATGATCGGGGGAATGAAAATCAAAACCACAATGCAATACCACCTTACTCCTACAAGAATGACCATAATTAAAAAATCAAAAAATAACAGATGTTGGCAGGGATGTGGTGAAAAGGGAACAC
The DNA here is from genome assembly GCF_000001405.40 of Homo sapiens. Classification (NCBI taxonomy): domain Eukaryota; kingdom Metazoa; phylum Chordata; class Mammalia; order Primates; family Hominidae; genus Homo; species Homo sapiens. The sequence continues at coordinate 33,769,952 of NC_000012.12, forward strand.
TTTTACATTGCTAGTGGGAATGCAGACTACTACAACCATTATGGAAAACAGGGCGTAGATTCCTTACAGAACTAAAAGTAGAACTACCATTTGATCCAGCAATCCCAATACTGAGTATCAACCCAGAGGAAAAGAAGTCATTATGTGAAAAAGATACTTGCACATGCATGTTCATAGTGCACAATTCTCAATTGAAAAAATATGCAACCAGCTCAAATGCTCATCAATCAAGGAGTGGAAACATATATACATATATATATACACACATACACACACACACACACGTATATATGTAATGTATATAGTAATGGAATACTACTAAGCCATAAAAAGGAACACACTCATGGCATTTACAGCAACCTGGATGAAATCGTAGACCTTTGTTCTAAGTGAAGTAATGCAGGAATGGAAAACCAAACATTGTATGTTCTCACTCATAAATAGGAGCTAAGCTATGAGGATGCAAAGGCATAATAATGATACAATGGACTTTGGGGACTCAGCGGAAAGTATAGGAGAGGGGTGAGCGATAAAAGACTACAAACTGGGTACACTGTATATTGCTCAGGTGATTGGTGCACCAAAATCTCAGAAATCACCACTAAAGAACTTATTCATGTAACCAAACACCACCTGTTTCCCAAAAACCTACGGAAATAAGAAAAAACACACATAGACCTGCCAGCCACACTTAAATAAAAGTGCATTATTGAGATGATAAAAATAATTATATATAACTAATAAAATATACTTTAGCAAGAGAGAAAAAGGTGAGGTGGATGTCTTTTGCATTAATCTAAACACTATATCCTTCTTCTTTTCTTTTGCTATTTTAAAGTTGATTGTTCAGTGACTATTTCCCATTACTTGACAGTTGGGCACTGAACCAATTGCTACTGCTGGATTTGGTGAGCCATGTTGTTAGTCATACTGGATTTCTGCTAATAAAAATCCCTTCACCTATTCCTTAGAAACAAACATTGTCACTTAATTGTTAAAAAGTGGTTAGATTGAAACATGCACACACAAACACACACACACACACAAAATTTTTTTTATCCTTGTTAAAATATGGCGTCAAAAGTGATCCGTAGTGAGATATGCAGGTGTCAAAAGTGATCAGTGGTGAGAAAAATCACTTCTGTACGTGCTTCTGTTTGCATAATTTGTAGAGGAGCAAAAGAGAAAAACTGCTTTTTTCTTCCTTCTCCAACTATTAAGATTTGAGTTTTAACTCAAAGTGAAGTTTATCATTATTGTGATGATTCTACCTGCCAAGGACTGCATCTGGTTGGTGGTTTAAATGTTTATGCATTATTTGGTATATATATGTAAAATAGTTTTGGGATTTTTCTAACTAAAGGTAGTGAAATTGGCATGAAGAAGCACGAATGTTATAATGTGTTTTGAAATTCACCAGAGCTTTGCCCTTCAGGTCACAGTGTAAGCCATAACTCTTCAATCAAATTTTCTCGATTGCTATGGAAATAGGAATTAGACCAATTCTGAGTTTCTAATTTTTTTTTCAGGTGTCTGTGTATTCAGGGAATAACCCAGTTTGAGCTGACTCAAATTTAAATTAGATTAATGGTCAAAGAAGTTATGGATTTATTTCCTACTCAAAACAAAATGCATTATTATTAACAATAATAATCACATTGTATCCAGCTCCAATATGAGGCTGCTCCAATGTGTAAAGGAGAATAAGCCACTTACCACATTAACAGTAGATTGTATAGAAGGAAAGCTGTTGAAGCATGGCACTAGTAAGGAGGGAGGATAGTGGAGCCAACAAAATATCCCTTTATCCTGGGTTGATAAAAAGATTTTGATTGGGCCATGACAATTAGCTTGAAAAAAATTTATATTCTAATTTTTAAACTGCTGTGAATACAGGATTATTAATTTTATGATCCTTAATATGTTGCTATTATGCAAATTATAATACATTTAATGTAATTTTTATTTGTGGTTAGTTATGTCTTACTATTTTGTAAAGTGCACTTCAATAATAAGAAGCTGAATGCTCACTCACTCTGAACTATGCCTTCATCAGAATTCTTAAAAGGATTGTTTCAGAGTCAATGTAGAAAAAAAAAATCACAGTGAGGCAATTGGAAAGACTCCATAAAAGGACATCATATCATGTGCTTTAACCCCAATTAATCCTCTTCACTCTCTTCTACCATGTGTAATTATGAAACTATTTCCTGACTTCCCCTGACTCTACAACGGTTTCAGTCCATGGACTTAATTGAATCTCTCCTTAACTCTAAAAGGTTAATGTCTGAGATCTGCCTTAATGTATTTTCAAAAGTGAAGATTGTGGTCAATTGAGAATATATTTTCTTTATAAATTACTCCTATAGAGGGAATAGGAGAAGCTTGAAAACTTGCTTCCATTATTATTCTAACTGCATAGTATTACAGTATGTTTCAATTCTCCTAGGGGAGTGGTTTTAGCATCATATTTTTTTCAAATCAGCAAACAAAAAATCCTTACACCAACAAACAACAGTCTTCATTGTTCAAGGGAGTCTCTAATCTCAGTAAATGTTATAGCTAGCTAGAGCTCTATTGAAAAAACCCAGGGAATTTATCTCTGAAAAATTTGGGATAAACAAACATCTTTTTTTGCATTTCTTTATTTTTTTTTGAGATGGAGTCTCATTTTATATATTTTTGTGAATTGCTTAGATTTTGTTTTGCTTTTTACCCATTTCTTGATTCATTCTCTACTCTTCTTACCCTGAATTTTTAAGAGTTCTTTCATCTTAGTTCTAGCAGCCCTTTACCCATTTTATATGTTGCAATTATTTACTCCCAGTCTGTCATTTGCTTTGTTACTTTTCTTACGGTGGTATTTTTGCTATGCAAAAGTCATTATAAATGTATATATATTTAACAAACTTTTCGGGGTGGAGCCAAGATGGCTGAATAGGAACAGCTCCAGTCTACAGCTCCCAGCGTGAGTGATGCAGAAGACAGGTGATTTCCGCATTTCCAACTGAGGTACTGGGTTCATCTCACTGGGGACTGCCGGACAGTGGTTGCAGGACAGTGGGTGCAGTGCACCGTGCATGAGCCAAAGCAGGGTGAGGCATCGCCTCACCCGGGAAGTGCAAGGGGTCAGGGAATTCCCTTTCCTAGTCAAAGAAAGGGGTGACAGATGGCACCTGGAAAATCGGGTCACTCCCACCCTAATACTGTGCTTTTCCAACAGGCTTAACAAATGGCACACCAGGACATTATATCCCGCACGTGGCTTGGAGGGTCCTACACCCACGGAGCCTCCCTCATTGCTAGCACAGCAGTCTGAGATCAAACTGGAAGGTGGCAGTGAGGCTGGGGGAGGGGCACCCGCCATTGCCCAGTCTTGAATAGGTAAACAAAGCAGCCAGGAAGCTTGAACTGGGTGGAGCCCACCACAGCTCAAGGAGGCCTGCCAGCCTCTGTAGACGCCACCTCGGGGGGCAGGGCACAGACAAACAAAAAGCAGCAGTAACCTCTGCAGACTTAAATGTCCCTGTCTGACAGCTTTGAAGATAGTAGTGGTTCTCCCAGCATGCAGCTTGAGATCTGAGAATGGGCAGACTGCCTCCTCAAAGTGGGGCCCTGAACCCTGAGTAGCCTAACTGGGAGGCATCCCCCAGTAGGGGTGGACTGACACCTCACACGGCTGGGTACTCTTCTGAGACAAAACTTCCTGAGGAACGATCAGGCAGCAGAATTTGCAGTTCACCAGTATCAACTGTTCTGCAGCCACCGCTGCTGATACCCAGACAAACAGGGTCTGGAGTGGACCTCTAGCAAACTCCAACAGACCTGCAGCTGAGGGTCCTGACTGGTAGAAGGAAAACTAACAAACAGAAAGGACACCCACACCAAAAACCCATCTGTACGTCACCATCATCAAAGAACAAAGGTAGATAAAACCACAAAGATGGGGAAAAAACAGAGCAGAAAAACCGGAAACTCTAAAAATCAGAGTGCCTCTCCTCCTCCAAAGGAATGCAGCTCCTCACCAGTAACAGAACAAAGCTGGACAGAGAATGACTTTGACAAGTTGAGAGAAGAAGGCTTCAGAAGATCAAACTACTCCGAGCTAAAGGCGGAAGTTTGAAACAATGGCAAAGAAGTTAAAAACTTTGAAAAAAAATTAGATTAATAGATAACTAGAATAACAAATGCAGAGAAGTCCTTAAAGGACCTGATGGAGCTGAAAACCATGGCATGAGAACTACGTGACGAATGCACAAGCCTCAGTAACTGATGCGATCAACTGGAAGAAAGTATCAGCGATGGAAGATGAAATGAATGAAATGAAGAATGAAGAGAAGTTTAGAGGAAAAAGAATAAAAAGAAACAAACAAAGCCTTCAAGAAATATGGGACTATGTGAAAAGACCAAATCTATGTCTGATTGGTGTACCTGAAAGTGATGGGGAGAATGGAACCAAGTGGGAAAATAATCTGCTGGATATTATCCAGGAGAACTTCCCCAATCTAGCAAGGCAGGCCAACATTCAAATTCAGGAAATACAGAGAACGCCACAAAGATACTCCTCGAGAAGAGCAACTCCAAGACATATAATTGTCAGATTCACCAAAGTTGAAATGAAGGAAAAAATGTTAAGGGCAGCCAGAGAGAAAGGTCGGGTTACCGACAAAGGGAAGCCCATCAGACTAACAGCGGATCTCTCTGCAGAAACTCTACAAACCAGAAGAGAGTGGGGGCCAATATTCAACATTCTTAAAGAAAAGAATTTTCAATCCAAAATTTCATATCCAGCCAAACTAAGCTTCATAAATGAAGGAGATATAAAATACTTTACAGACAAGCAAATGCTGAGAGATTTTGTCACCACCAGCCCTGCCCTAAAAGAGCTCCTGAAGGAAGCAGTAAACATGGAAAGGAACAACTGGTACCAGCCACTGCAAAAACATGCCAAATTGTAAAGACCATTAAGGCTAGGAAGAAACTGCATCAACTAACGAGCAAAATAACCAGCTAACATCATAATGACAGGATCAAATTAACACATAAAAATACTAACCTTAAATGTAAATGGGCTAAATGCTCCAATTAAAAGACACAGACTGGCAAATTGGATAAGGAGTCAAGACGCATCAGTGTGCTGTATTCAGGAAACCCATCTCATGTGCAGAGACACACATAGGCTCAAAATAAAGGGATGGAGGAAGATCTACCAAGCAAATGGAAAACAAAAAAAGGCAGGGGTTGCCATCCTAGTCTCGGATAAAACAGACTTTAAACCAACAAAGATCAAAAGAGACAAAGAAGGCCATTACATAATGGTAAAAGGATCAATTCAACAAGAGCAGCTAAATATCCTAAATATATATGCACCCAATACAGGAGCACTCAGATTCATAAAGCAAGTCCTTAGTGACCTACAAAGAATCTTGGACTCCCACACAATAATAATGGGAGACTTTAACACCCCACTGTCAACATTAGACAGATCAATGAGACAGAAAGTTAACAAGGATATCCAGGAATTGAACTCAGCTCTACACCAAGCAGACCTAATAGACATCTATAGAACTCTCCACCCCAAATCAACAGAATATACATTCTTTTCAGCACCACACCACACCTATTCCAAAACTGACCACATAGTTGGAAGTAAAGCACTCCTCAGCAAATGTAAAAGAACAGAAATTATAGCAAACTGTCTCTCAGACCACAGTGCAATCAAACTAGAACTCAGGATTAAGAAACTCACTCAAAACAGCTCAACTACATGGAAACTGTTCAACCTGCTCCTGAATGACTACTGGGTACATAACAAAATGGAGGCAGAAATAAAGATGTTCTTTGAAAGCAATGAGAACAAACACATAACGTACCAGAATCTCTGGGACACATTCAAAGCAGTGTGTAGACAGAAATTTATAGCACTAAATGCCCACAAGAGAAAGCAGGAAAGATCCAAAATTGACACCCTAACATCACAATTAAAAGAACTAGAAAAGCAAGAGCAAACACATTCAAAAGCTAGCAGAAGGCAAGAAATAACTAAAATCAGAGCAGAACTGAAGGAAATAGAGAAACAAAAAGACCCTTTAAAAAAATCAATGAATCCAGGAGCTGGTTTTTTGAGAATATCAACAAAATTGATTGACTGCTAGCAAGACTAGTAAAGAAGAAAAGAGAGAAGAATCAAATAGATGCAATAAAATATGACAAAGGGGATATCACCACCGATCCCACAGAAATACTAACTACCATCAGAGAATACTATAAACACCTCTATGCCAATAAACTAGAAAGACTGGAAGAAATGGATAAATTCCTCGACACATACACCCTCCCAAGACTAAACCAGGAAGAAGTCGAATCTCTGAATAGGCCAATAACAGGCTCTGAAATTGAGGCAATATTTAATAGCTTACCAACCAAAAAAAGTCCAGGACCAGATGGATTCATAGCTGAATTCTACCAGAGGTACAAGGAGGAGCTGATACCATTCCTTCTGAAATTATTCCAATCAACAGAAAAAGAGGGAATCTTCCATAACTCATTTTATGAGGCCAGCATCATCCTGACACCAAAGGCTGGCAGAGACACAACAAAAAAAGAGAATTTTAGACCAATATCCTTGATGAACATTGATGCAAAAATCCTCAATAAAATACAGGCAAACCAAATCCAGCAACACATCAAAAATTTTATCCACCATGATCAAGTGGGCTTCATCCTTGGGATGTAAGGCTGGTTCAATATATGCAATTCAATAAATGTAATCCAGCATATAAACAGAACCAAAGACAAAAACCACATGATTATCTCAATAGATGCAGAAAAGGCCTTTGACAAAATTCAACAACCCTTCATGCTAAAAACTCTCAATAAATTAGGTATTGATGGGACGTATCTCAAAATAATAAGAGCTATCTATGACAAACCCACAGCCAATATCATACTGAATGGACAAAAACTGGAAGCATTCCCTTTGAAAACTGGCACAAGACAGGGATGCCTTCTCTCACCACTCCTATTCAACATAGTGTTGGAAGTTCTGGCCAGGGCAATCAGGCAGGAGAAGGAAATAAAGGGCATTCAATTAGGAAAAGAGGAAGTCAAATTGTCCCTATTTGCAGATGACATGATTGTATATCTAGAAAACCCCATTGTCTCAGCCCAAAATCTCCTTAAGCTGATAAGCAACTTCAGCAAATTCTCAGGGTACAAAATCAATGTGCAAAAATCGCAAGCATTCTTATACACCAATAACAGACAAACAGAGAGCCAAATCATGAGTGAACTCCCATTCACAATTGCTTGAAAGAGAATAAAATACCTAGGACTCCAACTTACAAGGGATGTGAAGGACCTCTTCAAGGAGAACTACAAACCACTGCTCAATGAAGTAAAAGAGGACACAAACAAATGGAAGAACATTCCATGCTCATGGGTAGGAAGAATCAGTATTGTGAAAATGGCCATACTGCCCAAGGTAATTTATAGATTCAATGCCATCCCCACCAAGCTACCAATGACTTTCTTCACAGAATTGGAAGAAACTACTTTAAAGTTCATATGGAACCAAAAAAGAGCCCGCATTGCCAAGTCAATCCTAAGCCAAAATAACAAAGCTGGAGGCATCACACTACCTGACTTCAAACAATACTACGAGGCTACAGTAATCAAAACAGCATGGTACTGGAACCAAAACAGAGATATAGACCAATGGAACAGAACAGAGCCCTCAGAAATAATGCCGCATATCTACAACCATCTGATCTTTGACAAACCTGACAAAAACAAGCAATGTGGAAATGATTCCCTGTTTAATAAATGGTGCTGGGAAAACTGGTTAGCCATATGTAGGAAGCTGAAACTGGATCCCTTCCTTACACCTTATACAAAAATTAATTCAAGATGAATTAAAGACTTAAATGTGAGACCTAAAACCATAAAAACCCTAGAAGAAAACCTAGGCAATACCATTCAGGACATAGGCATGGGCAAGGACTTCATGTCTAAAACACCAAAAGCAATGACAACAAAAGCCAAAATTGACAAATGGGATCTAATTAAACTAAAGAGCTTCTGCACAGCAAAAGAAACTACCATCAGAGTGAACAGGCAACCTACAGAATGGGAGAAAATTTTTGCAATCTACTCATCTGACAAAGGGCTAATATCCAGAATCTACAATGAACTCAAACAAATTGACAAGAAAAAAACAACCCCATCAAAAAGTGGGTGAAGGATATGAACAGACACTTCTCAAAAGAAGACATTTATGCAGCCAAAAAACACATGAAAAAATGCTCACCATCACTGGCCATCAGAGAAGTGCAAATCAAAACCACAGTGAGATACCATGTCACACCAGTTAGAATGGCAATCATTAAAAAGTCAGGAAACAACAGGTGCTGGAGAGGATGTGGAGAAATAGGAACACTTTTACACTGTTGGTGGGACGGTAAACTAGTTCAACCATTGTGGAAGTCAGTGTGGTGATTCCTCAGGGATCTAGAACTAGAAATACCATTTGACCCAGCCATCCCATTACTGGGTATATACCCAAAGGATTATAAATCATGCTGCTATAAAGACACATGCACAGGTATGTTTATTGTGGCACTATTCACAATAGCAAATACTTGGAACCAACCCAAATGTCCAACAATGATAGACTGGATTAAGAAAATGTGGCACATATACACCATGGAATACTATGCAGCCATAAAAAATGAGGAGTTCATGTCCTTTGTAGGGACATGGATGAAGCTGGACACCATCATTCTCAGCAAACTATCGCAAGTTAAAAAAACCAAACACCGCATGTTCTCACTCATAGGTGGGAATTGAACAATGAGAACACATGGACACAGGAAGGGGAACATCACACACCGGGGACTGTTGTGGGGTGGGGGTAGTGGGGAGGGATAGCATTAGGAGATGTACCTAATGCTAAATGACGAGTTAATGAGTGCAGCACACCAACATGTCACATGCACACATATGTAACAAACCTGCATGTTGTGTACATATACCCTAAAACTTAAAGTATAATAATAATAAAAACAAACAAACAAACTTTTCTTATTATCAAATCTAATTAAACAGCCTCTTTTACACTTATATTGTCTTCCCCAATTCTTATATGTTTTCATATATATTTTTGTATGTGGTATGATGTATGAATTTAACTTTTCATTTTTCAAATGGACAAATCTGAGATGCATGCATTTAAAAGTTCACTTTTACTGTAGTGAGTTCAAATGCTAGTTTTACCATATACTCAGTTGCCGTATTCTGAACTATCCTATTCCATTTAAGTGTTCATTTATTCATGTGTTAATATCAAAGAAACATTTTTAATTATAGAGGCTGTATGGTCTTTTTAAATATCTAGTAGAATTGCTTCCTTTACTCCTTTTCATTTTCAGAATTTCCTAGCTATTCCTGCAGATTTATTTTCCTGTATGGGTTTTAGTACCACCTTATGAAACTGAATTAAAAAGATTTACTAATATATATGTATATTTAAGGCAATATCTGTTTTTTCTGGTTATTGCTTTAAAGACTTCCAAATAGAATAGTTTCTGCCAGTGTGGAGAAAAGGGTGACTGTGCCTATGAAAGCTCAGAACAAGGGATTCTAGTGATGGAGCCATTTTGTGTCTTGACTGTGGTGATGGACATGCAAATCTACATATATGATAAAACTTATACATGTGACAAAATTATGTTATTTTATTTTTCAGAACATGTAACATTTATATATTATTTTCTCTTACTCTTACCACAGCTTTTGTTTTAGTTCTTACAATGAAGGCTATTAAATGTGTCCATTTTTTTGACTGTAATTTTTCTAATTGTCTATTTGTTGAATGAATTTTAGCTCCTAGTAGATATCTCAGTAAAAACTCATAGGTAAAATATTTCTTCAGCTCATGCATATTTTTTGCAGACTTCATTTTTAGAAGAATTTTATGTTCACATCCAAATATAGAGGAAAGTACAGAGATTTTCTATATATCCCCTGCCCCCACACATATATAGCTTCCCCTATTGTCAACATTTCCCACCAGAGTGGTAAATTTGTTACAATTGATGAATCTATATTGACATATCATAATTACCCGAAGTCCATAGTTTACACACGGTTCACTATTGGTGCTGGACATTCAATGAGTTTGAACAAATGTATAATGACATGTATCTGTCATTATAGTTATCATACGGAGTCTTTTCACTGCGCTATAATACCTCCATGGTCCATCTATTCATCCCCCTCTTCCCAAAATGCCTGGAAAGCACTGATTTTTTTTTTAGTGTTTCTCCAGTTTTGCCTCTTCCGGGACATCATATAGTTAGAATCATACAGTATGTAGCCTTTTCAGATTGGCTAATTTCATTAGCAATATATATTTAATGTTCCTTCACGTCTTTTCATGGCTCGATAGCTCATTTCCTTTTAGTTTTGAATAATAACCCATTGTACAGAGGTAACACAGTTTGTTTATCCATTCACCTACTGAAGGACATCTGGGTTGCTTCCCAGTTTTGGCATTTATGAATAAAGCTGCCATAAATAACCATGTGTAGGTTTTTGTGTGGACATAAGTTTTCAAGTTCGTTGAGTAAATACCAAAGAGCATGATTGCTGGATCATACCGTAAGAGTATGTTTAGTTTTGTAAGAAACCACTAAGCCATATTCAAAGTGGTTGGTACATTTTGCATTCTCAGCACTAATAAATGAGAACTCGTTGCTTCGCATCCTTGCCAGCATTGGGTATTACCAGTGTTTCAGATTTTGGCCACTTTAATTGATGTGTGTTAATGTCTCATTGTTATTTTAATTTGCATTTCCCTGTTGAAATATGATGTGGAGCATCTTTTCATATGCTTATTTGCCCTCTGTAGGTTTTTGTTGAGGTGTCTGTAGCTTATATAGGTTAAAGATTGTTTAATTGTTAGCTTTATAACTTACATATGTGTTGTGCGTATTCTTTGGTCTATAGATTACATATTACATAATAGTTATTACATAATATTACATATATTACAAATGTACAAATATTTTATAATAAATAGTTAAGAATAAGGATGTATTAAGAAATATTTATCTCATCTTAAATGACTGAAAATTCCTAAAAAAAAATTGATAGTGGGAGGAAGCAGGCAAATGCCTAGGCAGATAGGGCCAGGTAGCCAGTGAAACCCCACCTCCAAGATGAAGACAGTTTAAAGCCTGAAAGCCAAGCTACAAGTTAAATCCTCAGACTGGATTGAGAACTTGTCTTCTTGTTTGGCATGCTTTCCTCTGATTGATTCTCACCCTTCACCTATTTTACATATACCTATCCATTCCTAATTGGTTTTCTACACTGTCATGCCCACCTTTGAGTGGTGTCTTTGCTTTAACTCTTTTTGCATCTTCACAAGTCAATCAGCATGTAGTCCCCATCCTGTGCCTGTAAAGACTCCAGATGCAGTCAGTAGAGGAAGAGATGATCTGACTTCAAGAAAGAGACAACCTGACTTCAGGGAAGATGGCCTGCCCTTCTTATCCCCTCTCCAGCTACCTTTTCTGCTGAGAGCTCACATGTTCCCTCCTGCAGGGGTTGAGTGCAGCTGGCCAAGTAGAGAGGGAGCCTCTGCCATGAGTCTGGTAAAAGGGCCAGGAAAAATCCTCCATCAAAATTATTGACTTTTTTTTTCAAAAATTGTTGATGTTAAGAATTCTGGTCAAATGAAATCAAACCTCCAGGTGAATCTTCTGTTCAGAAAATAAAGCACATTACATTTTTATACTGTAGAGTTATCTGTGATTTTCATATCTGTTACAATTGTATAATAGGTGATTAGTAAATATTTGTTTAATCAATAAAGTAGTTAAGTCCTGATGTGCAGCACATTAGGTGAAAACCATGGGCTTAAATAGTGGTTAACCAACCTCTGACCTGCATAAAAAGGAGTTTTAATTAACAAAAGAGAAATGTGAATACTTTTGCTAGAGGAACAGAAATTCATTTTATACAAGTCTATGAAAGTTTTAAAATGCCCTTGCAATAAGCAAAGTAAGGTCATTGAAATATCCAGGGAGAGGAACTCATCTGACAGAGAAAATTAGAATAATTCTAGCAAAGAATCTCTTCTAGTGACTTATTAAGCATTTTTCTCTTGATTTAAAAGATCAGCCAAATGCTAAGTGCCTAATGGAACTTGGCCCAGCTTCCTAAACTTGCAAATGATTGACAGTCACCAGCAAAATAACAATATAGATACAACAGCATTAAAATGAAGGCTGAAAAATCGTATCTTCACTCAAAGAATTGAGATAAATGGCAAACATTTTCAGAGATATTATTCACATAATTATCTCTGAAGTTAAATGAAAAATTGTTTTATTAACTTATCAGGAAGGTAAAGTAATGGTATAAATAAGCAAAATATGCAAGATCTTGGGTAACCCACCAGCAGATCAACAGTGGAAACAAACAACAAACTGCATATGTGAACCATAAGAAGATATTCTTGTAGTGCTGGTCTTCGCAGATATGGGTACTTAGGAAAAAGTTACAAAAACTGTAATTAAGATGAACAACTTTTATGGTTTCATCCCACCATTTTGGGAATGAAAGAACATAAGTTATGGAACGAGAGCTTTTACTAAGTCTAGGCTGGGTGTGATGGCCATGTCTGCTAACAACTCCTCTACTTGCTACAGTGAGTATCTTTGAGAAAATCGAATTACTTATTTAACTGCAATTTATAGTTATCTGTAGAATAGCAGTGCAATTCTGTTCTTACTTCTGAGAGTTGCAATGATCAAATGGAACATATACACACACACACCACACATACATAATCTAGACAGTTGTAAAGATCAGATTGAATATATCATGTAATTCATATTATAAATATTATACAAGTAAACTATTATATAATTTTACATATATAGTTATATCCCTACTAGTCTATAATATAATATTATAGAGAATATAGTATTATCAATAATATAATAATCATGTGGAAGGGCCATATATGACATATTAAATAGAATATCAAGAATGATTATTCATTAAATTTTCTGAAAAGCTGTTATTGAGTCATGTTTGCCTATAGAATACCAAGAATTATTACTCATTAAAATTTCTGATAAGCTGTTATTGAGTCATGTTTGGCTAGTATCATAATTTGCCTTAGGAGAACATAAAATATTCTGGGCAAATAATATAGTGTAGTTTAGAAATACTCAAGTTCGATAGGCACATCTTCAGACAGAGACTTTATTTAGACATTTAATGTTAAGCTCAAGCATTGTGTTCCTTTGACTCCCTTTGCTTCTTTTTTCTTGATAACTTCTGGAAAGTAGAATTATGAAAAGAATTCAACTATTCTTATCAAGTAAAGCTGGTTATTATTTATTACTTTAATTTGTATACCAATGCTTTTATAAAATACATAGAACAAGTCCATATATTAGTCTTTATAGTCCACATAATACAGAGAATTTTTCTGTTCAGAAACATTATCTAGACAGTGTAGTAGAACTGATTAGCTACCTATATGATTTTGACAACTTGAGGCCCATCAGTCAAACCTTTGAGTTCTGTTTATCTCAAACCTAGTGAAGATTTTGTTAAGGAGGGCAATACTGGCCCATGTTTCCATCTTGGCCCATAAAAATAGAAGCACTATGTGAGGTGTACATACTCTTTCACTTTTTGTTTATTTGTGGTAAGAAGATGAAAGTGAGATTCATCCATTAAAGGCAAACAAGTCACTCTCAACCATGTGGCTGACTAGGTAAGTCGATTCAGGGCAAAGTTTGTAGACTTGACCACACTACATTTATGGATAAAACTGAAAGTCTCATTTAGGCTTTAAAACTAAGTTTTATACCTTAGAACAGTCTTTACCTGAGCTCTTCATTGGGATTATAGAATGCTTTACTAGCTACTATGTACTTAGTAAATTGTTTTCCTTTTTCTATTGGGGTATATGCATGTGTTTGTGTGATATTGTGTGTATGTATGTGTTTCTTAGCTGGGAAGCTCAAAGAGAAAAACGGGTGTTTGACAGGACATAGATTTCAAAGCCTAAAACCTGAACTATCAAATTTAAATTTTTAATATAAAATGAATAAAATTCCAAAGAATAAGCATTTTTATTCAGGAGCCAATTATCCAAGGTCTTTTTTCAAAATACCATGTTCCCATATTTCCACAAATAGTTTTTGTTGCAATATTCTGTTTAGATTAAAAGATAAAATTATATATTTTTTGTTTGTGTTTTGGTTTTCTTTTTTTTTTTTTTTGAGACAGAGTCTCACTCTATTACCCAGGCTGGAGTGCAGTGGTGCAACCTCAGCTCACTGCAACATCTGCCTCCCGAGTTCAAGCAATTCTCCTGCCTCAGCCTCCAGGGTAGCTGGACTACAGGCGGGTACCACCACACCCAGCTAATTTTTTGTATTTTTAGTAAAGACAGGGTTTCACCGTGTTAGCCATGATGGTCTCAATCTTCTGACCTTGTGATCTGCCTGCCTCGGCTTCCCAAAGTGCTGGGATTGCAGGCATGACCCACTGTGCCTGGCCAAAATTATATTTATTTTATAGAAGCCAAGTTTATATATTCAAGGACTTTGTTTTGACTGTTATATATCTTGAAAATTGAGTAAAACATAACCATTTGAGAGAGTCATCATATCAATGTAATACTGAGGTAATACTCTGTATCTGGTCTTGACTCTGGTGCCCAGTTTAGTCACCTATTCACATTCCTCTTTCTAAAAAAAAAAAAAAAGTCCATTTTATTCAATTAAAGATATTTGATAAGGTTTTAGGGTTAAATAGGTTAAGTTTAAATTATTTCTCTGCCACACATGTCTGGGTTAACACTTAATCTAATAACTTTGGTCTCAATTTTCTTTCTATAAAAAGGAGAGTCTTCACACAACACAATCCCCTTGAAATTTTAATGTTAAATATTCTGTAGAATAGAAGCATTTTGTAATATGGTTATTAGAAAATAAATTTATGTGAACATATTTGTTGACAATATCAAACCTCAACTGATGGGAGACTATTTATAAGCTTTACCTGTGCCACTTGGTGTTAATATGCAGACATTTCACTGCAGAATTAGTAATGTATTTTGTTAGGTGGTTGTGCGTCACATCCTGCTCATAGGTATACATAGTGTTACATAATATATGGCACAGGCTCTTGCATTACTTTTCTAAGATCCCTCTAACTCTTAATTCCAAGACACATCTGGCCCCAAATTTTAGATATTATGTATCTACAGTGCATTCCGTATCACTGTTAATATAAGAATTATACATTAACAGAGTTAAGTGTTTAGCAAACTGTCAGGATACTCTAAAATAGGCTATCATTGAGGCTGTAGGGAGAAAGGGTTCAGAACTCCAGGTTCCTGATTGCTGGCAGAGCACACCAGAAACCCTGGCTGCTTACCTTCCATCTACATGTTCTACTCACATCTACTCCAATTTTTTTTTAATTATCCACACTGCAGGTAAAATTATCCTTTGAAAGACAAGTTTAATATTCCCTCTCCTGTTTAAAATCCTTCAAAGGCTTCCTATTGATATTATAGCAAACATTAAAACCCTTATTATGAGTTATAAAGACTATGCAAGGCCATTCTCTCCAGTACTGGGTGCAATCCTTCTTCTCCCTGCTCATGAAATACTAGCCCTTCAGCCTCTCAGAAATACCTTGATCCCTTCAATCACAAACTCTGGCACAAGGCTGTTCCCTGGGGTTTGAAAGGCTGTTACCATTCTCCTCAGCTGAGTTAATCTCTACTCATTCTTCAAAGTTAACACAAATATCACTATCTGAGGCAAGCCATCTAAGTCTCTTCTATCGTTAAACTCAGCCAAAGCCCCCATCAAAACTCTCATAACATGATAGTTCTATTCTTTATAGCTCTTCTCAAAGTTGCAATTTTACATTTGTTTAAAGAGTTGATTAATTTCTATGTCATCTAGTAGACTGTGATGTCCTTGAAGTTAGATAGTGTCTTTTCTTATTGTCATTTTTTAACATGTCCCTTTATTCTCTTTTATATATGTATTGAATAAATGAGATTCATTGTTTCAAAAAATATATTTAGCTCTATTTTTTTCTTATTGATTTTTATTTATACTTGACACATAATTGCACATATTTATGGGGTACAGTGTGATGTTTCAATGCATGTATACATTGTAAAATGATCAAATCAGGGTAATTACCATACCTATCACTTTAAACATTTATCATTTTTTGTGGTGATAACATTCAAAATGTCTTCTAGCTATCTTGAAATATGCATATTGCTATAATCATCCTACTGTGTAATAGAACATCAGAACTTTTTCTTTTTGTCTAAATGTAACTTTGTACCCATTAACCAGCCTCTCCCAGTACTCCCTTCCTCCCTACTCTATTCAGCTTCTGATAACCACTATTCTACTCTCTACTTCTATGAAATAACTTTTTTAGATTCCACATATGAGTGAGATCATTTAGGGTCAGTTTGTGCCTGGCTTATTTCACTTAACATAATGTTTTCCAGGTTCATCCATGTTACCACAATGACAGGTTTTCATTCTGTTTTATAGCCATATAGTATTTCATTGTATATTTATTCCACATTCTCTTTATCCATTTATCTGTAGATAGGTACTTAGGTTTATTACTTATCTTGGCTATTATGAACAGTACTGCAATAAACATGGGAGTGCAGATATCTCTTTGAAGTACTGATCTCATGTCCTTTGGATATTTACCCAGTAATGGGTTTGCTGGATCAATACCATATTGAGCAATATGGTAGTCCTACTTTCAATTTTTTGTAAGCTCCATACTATTTTCCATAACAGCTCTACTAATTTACATTCTTACCAAAGTGCATTAAGCATTCTCTTTTCTCCACATTCTAGCCAGCATTTATTTTGTATCCTTTACAGCCATTTTGCCTGCGGTGAGGTAATATCTCAGTGTGGCATTGGTTTGCATTTCCCTGATGATTAGAGATATGGGACATTTTTTGACATACCTGTTCGCCATTGGTAGGTCTTCTTTTAAGAAATGCCTATTTAGGTTTTTGCTTATTTTTTAATTGTGTTATTTGGTTTTTACTATCGAGTTGTTTGACTTCCTTACATATTATGAATGTTAACCCCTTCTCAGATGCATAGATTGCAAATATTAACACTTTCACCCATTTTTTAAAGTTCTCTCTTCACTCTATTGATTGTTTCCTTTGCTATGCTGAAGGTTTTTAGTTTGATAATCCCATTTGACTATTTCTGCTTTGGTTGCTTGTGCTTTTGAAGTCTTCTTAAAAAAATCTTGCCCAGTCCAATTTCATGAAGCGTTTCCCCAGTGTTTAATATTTTGTTGTTCCTTTTTTGAGACGAAGTCTCACTCTTGTTGCCCAGGCTGGAGTGCAATGGCATGATCTCAGCTCACTGCAACCTCTGCCTCTGGGGTTCAAGCGATTCTCCTGTCTCAGCCTCCTGAGTAGCTGGCATTACAGGCACAAACCACCATGCCCAGCTAATTTTTGTATTTTTAGTGGAGATGAGGTTTTGCCATGTTGGCCAGGCTGGTCTCACGCTCCTGACCTCAGGTGATCCATTCACCTCAGCCTCCCAAAGTGCTGGGATTACAGGTGTGAGCCACCATGCCCGGCCTAGTATTTTGTTTTTATCCTACTTATTACCTTGTATTTTGTACATAATAGGCTTCATTCTCTCCTCTATGGAGGAAGAGTGACTTTTATAACCTCCATGGCTGGCACTGACTTTTTATAACCTTCAGTGCTTGTGTTACCTTGAAGCTGTGGATCCCCTAACTGATCTCTTACTAGAATCAGAGGAAAGGAAAATATTGTGTTGCTTACCAGGTACAATTTCTCTCAGAATCCCAAATCAAACAGATATTATTTGCTCAGTTACATTTCTCAAGAATCTCTCTAATCGTTTTTTTGAGAAATGTACAACATATTCCAAAGCATGTGAGGATAACTCAGGCACTTTAATATGAAGTTTGACTTTGCTTTCAGTTCATATATTTAATTTCTGTAACTTAAAAGCAATATTCACACAAGTATAATGTTTAGGCCAGAGAAATTTCAACGGTTTATACAATCCCCAAATTCTTTCAGACTTGTTCTAAAGAGGCACAGGGACTTGGAGTTTCTCAAAAACTACACAAAAAATGAGTCAAGAAACATTTTGGGGAATGTACTGTGTAGTCAGCACTGTGCTCATAAGGCTAGGATGATTTACAAGCTGCAAAATAAATTTCATATGCACCTCTGATTTCTTATAACCTGATTGAAGATATAATAGCACAAAAATAGTTATTAAATGGTAAGTGCAAATATTATCTTGGGTGTAAAGAATGAGTGAATACAATGGAAATAATTGTGTTTTATAAGTGCAAGTGAGAGATATCAAATTAGTTAGACATGATCAGCAAACCCATTTCCTTGTTGGCTCTTTAGTTGATGTGGTGTACCCCTGTAGTGGAGAAAACTCTTTAGCATTGCATGAGCATGTCAGGCCATGCCAAACTGCCAGTGGACCTAATCCTGCAGCCTTAGCTATTGAGCTACTGAGAAGATGACCCAGAAGTATTTTAGAAAACCTTTGCCCTCTAAAGTGAAGCACCTGAGCCTGACTCCCTCTGTAAGCATTTTGCTGTAGATGTCCAACTTAATGCTTATGTGACTAACTTACTGGTTGTTTTCCTTGGTTCTTGGCTTAAATGTTAGTAACCTGATGTCATTAAGAGCCTTGAATTCTAGATTAAGTTCTCCTTCCACCCCTGCTCCACTCTCTCCTGGCTTAGAATAGCTCACTCTAAACTAAAGGAACTCCTGCTTATTGGGGATGATCTCCATTGGTCCTTCACATTTCTGCAGGAGTAGTGGCTTGGTAGCAAGAGGTTTAATTGACTCACAGGTTCATATGGCTGGGGAGGCCTCATAATTATGGCTGAAGGTGAAAGAAGAGCAAAATCACATCTTACATGGCAGCAGGCAAGAGAGTTTTGTAGGAGAACTCACCTACATAAAACCATAATATCTCATGATACTTATTCACTATTACAAAAACAGCATGGGAAAGACCCACCCCCATGATTCAATTACCTCCCACTGGGTCCCTCCCACAACATGTGGGAATTATGGGAGCTACAATTCAAGATGAGATTTGGGTGGAACACAGCCAAATTATATCATTTTGCCTCTGGCCCCTCCCAAATCTTATGTCCTCACATTTCAACACTAATCATGCCTTCCCAACAGCCCCCCAAAGTCTTAACTCATTTCAGCATTAACTCAAAAGTCCACAGTCCAAAGTTTCATCTGAGATAAGCCAAGACCCTTCCACCTATGAGCCTATAAAATCAAAAGCAAGCTAGTTACTTCCTAGATGCAATGGGGGTATAGGCATTGGGTAAATACACCCATTTCAAATGGGAGAAATTGGCCAAAACAAAGGGGCTACAGGCCCTATTCAAGTCCAAAATCCAACAGTGCAGTCAAATCTTAAAGCTCTGAAATGGTCTCCTTTGACTCCATGTCTCACATCCAAGTCATGCTGATGCAAGAGGGGGGCAGTCACAGCGTTGGGCAGCACTGCCCCTGTAGCTTTGCAGGGTTGAGCCCCCGTTCTGGCTGCTTTCACAGGCTGGCACTGAGTGTCTGTGGCTTTTCCAGGTGCACAGTGCAAGCTGTCAGTGTATCTACCATTCTTGGGTCTGGAGGACGGTGGCCCTCTTCTCATAGCTCCACTAGGCAGTGCCCCAGTGGAGACTCTCTTTGGGGGCTTTTACCCCACATTTCCCTTCTCCATTGCCCTAGTAGAGATTCTCCATGAGGACTCCACCCCTGTAGCAGACTTCTGCCTAGACATCCAGGCATTTCCATACATCCTCTGAAATCTATGAAATCTAGGTGGAGGTTCCCAAACCTCAATTCTTGACTTCTGTTCACCTGCAGGCTCAACACCACGTGGAACCTGCTAAGTCTTGGGGCTTGCACTCTCTGAAGCCATGGCCCAAAGTGTACCTTGGCCCCTTTTACCCATGGCTGGAGGGGCTGGGATGCAGGGCACCGAGTCCCAAACCTGCACACAGCAGGGGGGCCCTGAGCCAAGCCCAGGAAGCCATTTTTTTTCCTCCTAGGCCTACAGGCTCATGATGGGAGGGGCTGCCCTGAAGACCTCTGACATGATGAAGAGACATTCTCCCCGTTGTCTTGATGATTAACATTTGGCTCCCCATTACTTTTGCAAATTTCTGAAGTCAGCTGGAATTTCTCCCCAGAAAATGGGGAGAAATTTTCTACTACATCATCAGGCTACAAACTTTTTAAACTTTTATGCTTTGCTTCCTCTTGAACACTTAGAACACTTAGAAATTTCTTCCACCAGATGACCTAAATTATCTCTCTCAAGTTCAAAGTTCCACAAATCTCTAGGGCAGGGGAAAAATGCTGCCAGTCTCTTTGCTAAAACATAAGAAGAGTCACCTTTGTTCCAGTTCCCAAGAAGTTCCTCATCTCCGTCTGAGACCACCTTAACCTGGACTTCATTGTTCATATCACTATCAGTGTTTTGGTCAAAGCCAGTCCACAAGTCTCTAGGAAGTTCCAAACTTTCCCACATCTTCCTGTCTTCTGAACTTTCCAAGTATCTAGGAAGTTCCAAACTTTCCCATATTTTCCTATCTTTTTCTGATTCCTCCAAATTGTCCAACCTTCATCTCTTACCTGGTTCTAAAGTTGCTTCCACATTTTTGGGTATCTTTACAGCAGAACCCCAATCTACTGGTATCAATTTACTATAGTAATCTGTTCTCATGCTGCTAATAAAAAAATACCTGAGACTGGGTAGCTTATAAAGGAAAGAGATTTAATTGACTCACAGATCCACATGGCTTGGAGGCCTCACAAAAATGGCTGAAGGTGAATGAGGAGCAAAGTCATGTCTTACATATCAGCATAAAAGAGAGTTCTTGTAGGGGATCTCCCCTTCATAAAACCATCAGATGTCATGAGAATTATTCGCTATCATGAGAACAGCACAGAAAAGACACACCCCAGTGATTCAATTACTTCCCCCGGGTCCGTCCCACAGCAGGTGGGAATTATGGGAACTAGAATTCAAGATGAGATTGGGGTGGGGACAAAGCCAAACCATATCAGGTAGCCTTTGTTCTGGACTATTTTTTATTTTGTATACTTGTGTAGCTAACAAACTTGGAAGACAGAGATAGTGTCTCCTTCAGGAGCAGTTGGGAGGTTTGTTTATTGTTCAGTATAATAAATACAATGTCTCCCTCTGAGACAAAGGTAGGGCAAGTTTACTGGCAGCCCATTTTAACAGATCCAGGTTCTCTAAGCTTGGGATTCCCCAGCTGTGAACTCACAGTGTGTATCATGTCTGCCTGGGCTGCTCTGTATCACCCCTATGGGACTTGGGAACAAGGAGAATGGATGCAAACATGAATATCAAGCTTCCTGTAGCACTGTGAGTAATAAAGGCCTATGTCTC
The DNA here is from genome assembly GCF_000001405.40 of Homo sapiens. Taxonomy (NCBI): domain Eukaryota; kingdom Metazoa; phylum Chordata; class Mammalia; order Primates; family Hominidae; genus Homo; species Homo sapiens. The sequence goes on from NC_000012.12 coordinate 33,791,524, forward strand.
TGACCTAGAAGTCTTGTATTTTTCTGCTAGGACCTATGAAACTGACAGGCTAACATGTCGCCTTGCAAACAGGCTAAAAACATAGATTGTTCACAGTATCTGACACCATTCTACTCTGCAGTTCTCCTAGGAGTTAACTATCTCTGCTTCCTAAAGGCCTTTTCTTTTACTCCCTGCCTATGTCTTATAATTTACAGTCTTATAGGTCAAAGTATCTTGTATCACACCACTATGCCTATGCCCCAAGAAATCTGTGATTTGACCAAAGCCCATCCTTGAGGCAGTTCATCTTTCTGGTCCATTTAAGTTACCTTGTTTCTACCTTTCATTTTCAGATACAATCATATTGATCACTTTCTCTCTGCTGGTTGGCAATTTAAATTAAAATGATGTTACATTATGCACAGCCCCACCTAGCTTACATAATGGCCAACGCAGTGTGTTTTAGTGCTAAAATGTCCTCAAACACATGTGAAATGTGAACTCTATTCTAGACTGGAAGAAAGAAAAATCGCTATTTTTCTAGTTAGTTGCATTTCTTATTATAAGGCTGGCACAGTAAATGCTAAAATTCTAATAAATAAATGAAAAAGATGAATAAAGTTTTAATCATTAACAACTTTTTTATTTTGTTAAAAGCATAACATGAAATCTATCTTATATCTTTAAGTATACATTATAGTATTAATTATATGTGCTTTTATGTACAGCAGATCTCTAGGGATTTTTCATTTTGTATGACTGAAACTCTACACCCACTGAACAACAACTCTCTGTTTCTCCCTCCCCCCCAAGCTCCTTGCAGTCATCATTTTACTTTCTGCTTCTATGAATTTGACCACTTTAGATACCTCATAAATGAGGAATCATGCAGCATTTTTCCTTCTGTGATAGGTTTATTGCATTACGTTCTCAAAGTTCAACCATATTGTACCATATGACAGGATTTCCTTCTTGAAAAACTGAATAGTATTTCATCATGTGTATATATCACATTTTCTTTATCCAGTCATCTGTTGATGAACATTTAGGTTGCTTTGATCTCTTGGCTATTGTGAATAATGCTGCGATAAACATGGGTGTACAAATATCCCTTTGAGATACTGTTTTCAATTATTTTGGATATACACCCAGAAGTGAGATGGCTCAATCATATGGTAATTCTAATGAGTTAATTTTAAGTGAACAATAAACATTTTTTCAATTTAACTAATTAAATTCACGGGAGTTTGCAGGATCAAGAACTTGATAAGAAGTTCTTGAACCTCAAGTTCTTGATCCTGCAAACTCCGATGAATTATTGGTATAATTAAGTGAGGCATGCCTAGGTTTTTTTCTGAGAGATCCATTTCTTCCTTGCAGAGAGAACCTCATACCAGCTGTGCAGCTCCAATAAGGAGAGAGTCCTTTACACTTTCTCCTCTGTGTCATATTCTTACAGTTGCAAAGTGCTCAGCTAGTTTGAGTCTTCTTTACCTCCTGAGAATCTTTCACCCAGCCTTTCACCTGAACTATTTCTTCCATGCTAACTCACTCTCTCATATAGTGAAATAGAAATCATACCTAAAACCCATTTATCTTTCCCTGAAATTAGACTACAAATTTGTTGAGTCAATGGAAGAGATGATCACCTTTGGCAGAATCCTAGCATCCATTATAATTGAATGGACTTAGAGGATCAATATCATTGGTGCATATAATTTTTTATTCTAAAATTAATCTCTGGTCAGAAGACCAGACCTCTATAAATCTCCATGTTTGCTATGTGTTTTTACTATGCCTATGAGTCTTAGAAAATTTGCTTTTTAAACCTTGCCCATATTTACATGATAGGTATTTAACGGATTATTCGAATTAGAAATGATCAAGTCAAACTCCCCTAAGCGAAGACAATGGCAAATCTACCTGCTTCTCCCTCATCCTATTGGATGAAACCATTTCTAAATCTTTCTTTTGCTTATCATCTCATTTTTACACCTCATTTCCAGGAGTTTATAGTGGCACTTAAACTTTTTTCATGTGGTTTCAAATATTCATGCTTGAAAGTTCTATTTTAAAAGCCAGCAGTTTTTGACAATGAGAAGGCTTGCTTTATGTTGTGCAGGAGAGTTTCTTAAAGTACTTAAAGAGGACCAGACCACTATGAGATACCATCTCACACCAGTTAGAATGGCAATCATTAAAAAGTCAGGAAACAGCAGGTGCTGGAGAGGATGTGGAGAAATAGGAACACTTTTACACTGTTGGTGGGACTGTAAACTAGTTCAACCATTGTGGAAGTCAGTGTGGCGATTCCTCAGGGATCTAGAACTAGAAATACCATTTGACCCAGCCATCCCATTACTGGGTATATATCCAAATGACTATAAATCATGCTGCTATAAAGACACATGCACACGTATGTTTATTGCGGCATTATTCACAATAGCAAAGACTTGGAACCAACCCAAATGTCCAACAATGATAGACTGGATTAAGAAAATGTGGCACATATACACCATGGAATACTATGCAGCCATAAAAAATGATGAGTTCATGTCCTTTGTAGGGACATGGATGAAATTGGAAATCATCATTCTCAGTAAACTATCGCAAGAACAAAAAGCCAAACACCGCATATTCTCACTCATAGGTGAGAATTGAACAATGAGATCACATGGACACAGGAAGGGGAATATCACACTCTGGGGACTGTTGTGGGGTGGGGGGAGGGGGGAGGGATAGCACTGGGAGATACACCTAATGCTAGATGACGAGTTAGTGGGTGCAGCGCACCAGCATGGCACATGTATACACATGTAACTAACCTGCACAATGTGCACATGTACCCTAAAACTTAAAGTATAATAAAAAAAAAAAAAAAAGAGGACCAGATCATCACACAAAAGACAACTCACTTGCAGTCTTTTAGGCAATTAAAGGAATCTGGATATGCTTCTTTCTGGATGCCAGAATGATGGGTTCACTAGCACTATCAGTAGGGTGGATAAGGTCACTGATAATTATATACTCGATTCGTGGTTCATTTTTAGTGGGCCTCATAAGCATATCTGGTAACTGTTATGCCCCTATCAGTCATCTTTATTCTTTTTAGTCTTCCTAGAGTTATCACATCTGTCACAAATATTAATATACCTAAAGTATATTAATATGGCAATGAGTGCCATGATGCATTTGATGTTTGAGAAATAATGAAATGTCACATCCATTATAGAACAATGTGGCGTTTAATGGAGCTATGCAGAGTTATTTGCACTATTATTCCACTGTAATAATGTTGCTTTCAGTCACATCTGACAAAAATATCACTGAATGTTAATTCAGATGAACTTTAAATGTAGCCACATGGGGACTGACCTAAAACGAAAGCTCCTGGTCTTTGCCTTGAAAAAAGCTTGCCCTTAATGGTATAATTAGAGGTTTGTCCTAACCTCTTGGGTTCAAAGTTGGAAAGGTGTATAAGAAAAGTAGGCAGAGAAACAGCATGGGGCACATGCATGAATGCCTACAGAGCTAATGGTTTGCTTCAAACTGAGGATATGACCATGACCTTCTTAGTCACTGCAAGTCTAAGAACCAGACTTGCAATTGAGAACCAATTGAGAACCAATTGAGATGTTAATTAGAGTAAAATACAGAATGTACTCACAGAGTCTAGGCTTTGTTTGCACCCCACCCCCAAATGTGCCAGCAGGTAACTTTAAATATAAAAAGAGCTAAGTTGGGAGTGATGCCAGCAAGATGGCAGAGTAGGGTATACCAGTCTTAGGCCTTCCATAAAAACAATTACATAGCTTTCCAGGAATACAAATAGCTCTGGGAGAGCTTGGGAGTATAGTTAAGAGGCTGCAGCAACACAGGAGAGCAAAAAATACAGGCACAGTTCAGGGCTGAGGTGAACCTTTCTGAACCATGAATTCCCCTTGAAGGGAAAAGGAGGGCAGAGTGAGTGATCAGCTTCCCCAAACTTTTGGGGCACTGCCTCAAACACTGGCTTCAGTTTCATCCCATGCAGTTTGCTGTGGATATCAGTGTAGCTGAGATGCCTGGACGTGGTTAAGAACAGTATTAGCCATGCAGCAGGTGTAAATGCAACTGTGTCTCCTGGGCTGGGCTATCACTCCCACTCCCCCAATCTCTGCAACCACATACATGCCTGAGCCTTGACGCCACAAATGCTCTGTGCATGCCTGTGGTCTAGACTCTGAGCACTCCACAAGCATCTACACCTCAGAAACTGGCACATACCAGTGCCTCAGACATCAGTCACCACTGCAGTGGTTATGCCCACCTCCTAAACCACAGAGCCATGATTGTTCCTCATGGGCCTGTGCTCCAGAACCCAACACTGTGGCCCCTCTGTGAGTGACTGACCAGGCCTTGCATACCAACACAACAGACACATCGGGTCCCTGACATTGGCACCACTGATCCTCACCACACACAATGGAATATTATTCTTCCTTAAAAATAGAAGGAAATCTTGCTATTTATGACAACATGGATGAACTAAGTGAATAAGCCAGATGTAGAAAGACAAATACTGTATGATTACATTTATATGTTGATATGGTTTGGCTCTGTATCCCCACCCAAATCTCCCCTCAAATTATAGTTCCCATAGTATCTATGTGTCACAGGAGGGACCTGGTAGGAGATAATTTCATCATGGGGGCTGTTGTGCTCATGCAGTTCTCATGATAGTGAGTGAGTTCTCACGAGATCTGATGGCTTTATAAGGGGGATTTCCCCTCTTTTTCTCTGTACTTCTCTTTGTTGCCACCATATGAAGAAGGTTGTGTTTGCTTCCCCATCCACCATGATTGTGAGTTTCCTGAGACCTCCCTAGCCATGCGGAGCTGTGAGTGAATTAAACCTCTTTCCTTTATAAATTACCCAGTACTGGGTATGTCTTTATTAGCAGCAAGAGAATGGACTAATACAGTAAATTGGTACCAGGTAGTACGGTGCTGCTGTAAAGACACCCAAAAATGTGGAAGTAACTTTGGAACTGGGTAACAGGCAGAGATTGGAACAGTTTGGGGGGCTCAGAGAAGACAGGAAAATGTGGAAAAGTTTGGAACTTCCTAGAGACTTGTTGAATGGCTTCGACCAAAATGCTGATAGTGATATGGACAATAGAGTCAGGGCTGGTGTGGTCTCAGATGGAGATGAGGAACTTGTTGGGAACTGGAGCAAAGATGTTCCAGTTTATGCTTTAGCAAAGAGACTGGTAGCATTTTGCCACCACCCTAAAGCTATGTGGAACTTTGAACTTGAGAGGGATGATTTAGGTTATCTGGCAGAAGACGTTTCTCTTTCTTTCTTTTTTTTTTAAATTATACTTTAAGTTCTGGGATATATGTGCAGAACTTGCAGGTTTGCTACATAGGTATACATGTGCCATGGTGGTTTGCTGCACCCCCCATCAACCCGTCATCTACATTAGCTATTTCTCCTAATGCTATCCCTTTCCTTGCCCCCAAACTCTGACAGGCCCCAGTGTGTGATGTTTCCCTTCCTGTGCCCATATGTTCTCATTGTTCACCTCCCAATTATGAGTGAGAACATGTGGTATTTGGTTTTCTGTTCCTGTATTAGTGTGCTGAGAATGATGGTTTCCAGCTTCATCCACGTTCCTGCAAACGACATGAACTCATTCTCTTTTATGGCTGCATAGTATTCCATGGTGTATATGTAGCAAATTTTTTATCCAGTCTAAGATTAATGGGCATTTAGGTTGGTTCCAAGGCTTTGCTATTGTGAATAGTGCTGCAATAAACACATATGTGCATGAGTCTATAGTACAGTGATTTATAATCCTTTGGATATATACCCGGTAATGGAATTGCTGGGTCAAATGGTATTTCTGGTTCCAGATCCTTGAGGAATTGCCACACTGTCTTCCACAAAGGTTGAACTAATTTACACTTCCACCAACAGTGTAAAAGTGTTCCTATTTCTCCACATCCTCTCCAGCATCTGTTGTTTTCTGACTTTTTAATGATCATCATTCTAACTGGCATGAGATGGTAACTCATTGTGGTTTTGATCTGCATTTCTCTAATGACCAGTGATGAGCTTTTTTCATTGATTTTTGGCCACATAAACGTCTTCTTTTGAAAAGGGTCTGTCTGTATTCTTCACCACTTTTTATGGGTTTTTTTTTTTGTAAATTTGTTACTTGTAGATTCTAGATATTAGCCCTTTCTCAGATGGATAGATTGCAAAAATTTTCTCCCATTCTGTTGGTTGCCTGTTCACTCTGATGATAGTTTCTTTTGCTGTGCAGAAGCTCTTCAGTTTAATGAAATCCCATTTGTCAATTTTGTTTTTGGTTGCCATTGCTTTTGGTGTTTTAGTCATGAAGTCTTTGCCCATACCTATGTCTTGAATGATATTGCCAAGGTTTTTTTTTAGGGATTTTATGGTTTTAGGTCTTATGTTTAAATCGTTAATCCATCTTGAGTTAATTTTTCTATACAGTGTAAAGAAGGGGTCCAATTTCAGTTTTCTGCATATGGCTAGCCAGTTTTCCCAAGACCATTTATCAAATAGGGAATCCTTTCCCCAGTGCTTGTTTTTGTCAGGCTTGTCAAAGAACAGATTGTTGTAGATGTGTGGTGTTATTTCTGAGGCCTCTGTTCTATTCCAGTGGTCTACATGTCTTTTCTGGTACCAGTACCATGCTGTTTTGGTTACTGTAGCCTTGTAATTTAGTTTGAAGTCAGGTAGCATGATGCCTCCAGCTTTGTTCTTTTTGCTTAGGATTGTCTTGGATATGCAGGCTCTTTTTTGGTTCCATATAACATTTAAAGTATTTTTTTTCTAATTCTGTGAAGAAAGTCAATGGTAGCTTGATGTGGATAGCACTGAATCTATGAATTACTTGGGGCAGTATGGCCATTTTTGTGATACCGATTCTTCCTATCAATGAGCATGAAATGTTTTTCTATGTGTTTGTGTCCTCTCTTATTTTCTTGAGCAGTGGTTTGTAGTTCTCTTTGAAGAGGTCCTTCACATCCCTTGAAGGTGTACTCCTAGGTATTTTATTCTCTTTGTAGCAATTGTGAATGGGAGTTTGCTCATGATTTGGCTCTCTGTTTGTCTATTATTGGTGTATAGGAATGTTTGTGATTTTTGCACATTGATTTTGTACCCTGAGATTTTGCTGAAGTTGCTTATCTGCTTAAGGATTTTTGGGCTGAGATCATGGGGTTTTCTAAATATAAAATTATGTCATCTGCAAACAGAGACAATTTGACTTCCTCTCTTCCTAACTGAATATGCTTTATTTCTTTCTCTTGACTAATTGCCCTGGCCAGAACTTCCAATACTATGTTGAATACGAGTGGTGAGAGAGGGCATCCTTGCCTTGTGCTGGTTTTCAAAAGAAATGCTTCCAACTTTTGCCCATTCAGTATGAGATTGGCTGTGGGTTTGTTGGAAATAGCTCTTATTATTTTGAGATCTGTTTCATTAGTACCTAATTTATTGAGTGTTTTTAACATGATGGGGTGTTGAATTTTATTGAAGGACTTTTCGGCATCTATTGAGATAATCATGTGGTTTTTGTCATTGGTTCTGTTTATGTGATGGATTACGTTTATTGATTTGCGTATGTTGAACCAGTCTTGCGTGCCAGGAGTGAAGCTGACTTGATCATGGTGGAGAAGCTTTTTGATGTGCTGCTGGATTCGGTTTGCCAGTATTTTATTGAGGATTTTTGCATAGATGTTCTTCAGGGATACTGGCCTGAAATTTTCTTTTTTTTTTTGTTGTGTATCTGCCAGGTTTTGATATCAGGATGATGCCTAAAATAAGTTAGGAAGGAGTCTCTCTTTTTCTATTGTTTGGAATAATTTCAGAGGGAATGATACCAGCTCCTCTTTGTACCTGTGGTAGAATTCGGCTATGAATCCATCTGGTCCTGGGCCTTTTTTGGTTGGTAGGCTATTAATTACTGTCTCAATTTCAGAACTTGTTATTGGTCTATTCAGAGATTCGACTTCTTCCTGGTTTAGTCTTGGGAGGGTGTTTGTGTGCAGGAATTTATCCATTTCTTCTAGATTTTCTAGTTTATTTGTGTAGAAGTGTTTATAGTATTCTCTGATAGTAGTTTGTATTTCTGTGGGATCAGTGGTCAGCTCTCCTTTATCGCTTTTAATTATGTCGTTTGATTCTTCTCTATTTTCTTCTTTATTAGCCTGGCTACCGGTCTATTTTGTTAATCTTTTCAAAAAAAAAAAAAAAAAAAAACCAGCTCCTGGATTCATTAATTTTTGGAAGGGTTTTTTGTATCCCTATCTCTTTCAGTTCTGCTTTGATCTTAGTTATTTCCTATCTTCTGCTAGCTTTTGAATTTGTTTGCTCTTGCTTCTCCAGTTCTTTTAATTGTGATATTAGGATGTTGATTTTAGATCTTTTCTCCTTTCTCCTGTGGGCATTTAGTGCTATAAGTTTCCCTTTAAACACTGCTGTAGCTGTGTCCCAGAGATTCTGGTATGTTGTGTCTTTGTTCTCATTGGTTTCAAGGAAATTATTTATTTTTGCCTTAATTTTGTTATTTGCCCAGTAGTCATTCAGGAGCAGGCTTCCATGTAGTTGTGTGGTTTTGAGTGAGTTTCTTAATCCTGAGTTGTAATTTGATTGCACTGTGGTCGGAGAGACTGTTATGATTTCCATTCTTTTGCATTTGCTGAGGAATTTTTTACTTCCAATTATGTGGCCAATTTTAGAATAAGTGCTATGTGGTGCTGAGAAGAATGTATATTCTGTTGATTTGGGGTGGATAGTTCTGTAGACGTCTATTAGGTTCACTTGGTCCAGAGCTGAGTTCAAGTCCTGAATATCCTTGTTAATTTTCTGTTTCATTGATCTAATATTGACAGTGGGGTGTTAAAGTCTCCCACTATTATTTTGTGGGAGTCTAAGTCTCTTTGTAGGTCTCTCAGAACTTGCTTTATGAACCTGGATGCTCCTGCATTGGGTGCATATATATTTAGGATAGTTAGGTCTTCTTGTTGCATTGATCCCTTTACCATTATGTGATGCCCTTTTTTGTCTTTTTTGATCTTTGTTGGTTTAAAATCTGTTTTATCAGAGACTAGGATTTCATTCCCTGCTTTTTTTTTTTTTTTTTTTTTTTTTTTTTTTTTTGCTTTGCATTCGCTTGGTAAATATTCCTCCATTCCTTTATTTTGAGCCTATATGTGTCTTTGCATGCGAGATGGGTCTTCTGAATACAGCACACTGATGGGTCTTGATTCTTTACCCAATTTGCCAGTCTGTGCCTTTTAGTTGTGGAATTGAGCCTGTTTACATTTAAGGTTAAATAGTTATGTGTGAATTTGATCCTGTCATTATGATGCTAGCTGGTTATTTTGCCCATTAGTTGATAGTGTCTCTTCATAGTGTCGATGGTCTTTATATTTTGGTTTGATTTTGCAGTGACTGGTATTAGTTTTTCCTTTCCATATTTAGTGCTTCCTTCAGGAGCTCTTGGGAGCTCTTGCAAGGCAGGCGTGATGGTGACAAAATCCTTCAGCATTTGTTTGTCTGTAAAGGATTTTATTTCTCCTTCACTTATGAAGTTTAGTTTGGCTGGATACGAAATTCTGGGTTGAAAATTCTTTTCTTTAAGAATGTTGAATATTGGCCCCCACTCTCTTCTGGCTTTTAGGGTTTCTGCAGAGAGATATGCTGTTAGTCTGATGGGCTTCCCTTTGTGGGTAACCCACCATTCTCTCTGGCTGCCCTTGATATTTTTTCCATCATTTCAACCCTGATGAATCTGACGATTATGTGTCTTGGGGTTGCTCTTCTCAAGGAGTATCTTTGTGGAGTTCGCTGTGTTTCCTGAATTTGAATATTGGCCTGTCTTGCTAGGTTGGGGAAGTTCTCCTCGATAATATCCTGAAGTGTGTTTTCCAGCTGTGTTCCGTTCTCCCCATCACTTTCAGGTACACCAATCGAACATAGGTTTGGTCTTTTCACATAGTCCTATATTTCTTGGAGGCTTTGTTCATTCCTTTTCATTCTTTTTTTCTCTAATCCTGTCTTCATGCTTTATTTCATTTAGTTGATCTTCAATCTCTGATATCCTTTCTTCCACTTGATCTTCATGAAGTTAGATCTCCCACTTATGCTTCATGAAGTTCTTGTGCTGTGTTTTTCAGCTCCATCAGGTCATTTATATTCTTCTTTAAACTGGGTATTCTAGTTAGTAATTCCTCTAACCTTTTATCAAGGTTCTCAGCTTCCTTGCATTGGCTTAGCACATGCTTCTGTTGCTCGGAGGAGTTTGTTATTACCCTCCTTCTGAAGCCTACTTCTGTCAATTCTTCAAACTTTCTCCATCCAGTTTTGTTCCCTTGCTAGCAAGGAGTTGTGATCTTTTGAAGGAGAAGAGGCATTCTGGTTTTTGGAAATTTCAGCGTTTTTGCACTGGTTTTTCCTGATCTTCGTGGATTTATCTACCTTTGGTCTTTGCTTTAGGTGACCTTCGGATGGAGTCTTTGTGTGGTCATCCTTTTTTTGATGTTGATGCTATTGTTTTCTGTTTGTTAGTTTTCCTTCTAACAGGCCCCTTCTCTGCAGGTCTGCTGGAGTTTGCTGGGGGTCCACTCCAGACCAGCAGAGGCTGCAGCATAGCAAAGATTGCTGCCTGCTCCTTCCACTGGAAGCTTTCTCCCAGAGGGGCACCTGCCAGATGCCAACCAGAGCTCTCCTGTGTGAAGTCTCTGTCAACCCCTGCTGGAAGGTGTCTCCCTTTCAGGAGGCACAGGGGTCAGAGATCCACTTGAGGAGGCAGTCTGTTCTTTAGCAGAGCTTGAGCACTGTGCTGGGAGATCTGCACTCTTCAGAGTCAGCAGCAGGAATGTTTAGGTCTGCTGAAGCTGCGCTAATAGCGACCCCTTCCCCCAGGTGCTCTGTCCCAGGGAGATGGGAGTTTTATCTTTAAGTCCCTGACTGGGGCTGCTGCATTTCCTTCAGAGATGCCCTGCCCAGAGAGGAGGAATCTAGAGAGGCAGCCTGGCTACAGCAGATTTGCAGCACTGCAGTGGGCTCCCCCAAGTTCAAACTTCTTGGAGGCTTTGTTTACACTGTAAGGGGAAAACTGCCTACTCAAGCCTCAGTAATGTTGGATGCCCCTACCCCACCAAGCTTGAGCATCCCAGGTTGACTTCAGACTGCTGTGTTGGCAGTGAGAATTTCAAGCCAGTGGATCTTAGTTTGCTGGACTCCATGGGGGTGGGATCTGCTGAGCTAGACCACTTAGTTCCCTGGCTTCAGCCCCCTTTCCAGGGGAGTGAACGGTTCTGTCTCACTGGCATACCAGGCACCACTTGGGTATGAAAAGAAACTACAGCTAGTTGGGTTTCTGCCCAAACGAGCCCCCAGTTTTGTGCTTGAAACACAGGGCCCTTATTTTATAGGCACCTGAAGGAATCTCCTGGTTTACGGGTTGCAAAGATCATGGAAAAAGTGTAGTATCTGGGCCAGATAGCATCGTCCCTCATGGCACTGTCCCTCAGGGCTCCCCTTGGCTAGAGGAGGGAGTTCCCTGACCCCTTGTGCTTTCTGGGTGAGGCGATGCCCTACCCTGCTTCTGCTCGCCCTCCTTGGGCTACACCCACTGTCCAACCAGTCCCAATAAGATGAATCAGGTACCTCAGTTGGAAATGCAGAAATCAACCACCTTCTGTGTTAG